>NC_000002.12:20843088-20994603 GCF_000001405.40 Homo sapiens
AAAGCCATTCTCCCACCTTAGCCTCCCAAGTAGCTGGGACTATAGGCACATACCACCATGCCCAATTAATTTTTGTATTTTTTTGTGGGGGAATAGAGACAGAGTTTTGCTAGGTTGCCCGGGCTGTTCTCAAGCTCCTGAGTTCAACTGATCTGCCTGCCTCAGCCTCTCAAAGTGCTGGGATTACGGGTGTGAGCCACGGTGCCCATAGGTCCATTTTCTTATATATATTTCTCACTGTATTATTTCATTACAAGAGTGCTGGGGCTACTGTGTTTTGTTCTAATATAATATGGCTATCATGCTGAGTCCTCCTAGGGCATGACTCTTGAACTGGTGGTACAGGAGTGGGGAAGTGAGGATAGGGTCTTCCAAATGGCCATTCCTGGTATCTTTCATCTCAAGAAGAGGCAAAGTCTTCAGATAAGACCAGAACACTGTAAGGTGGGCCTCAGTTGATTGGGCCTTTCTTACTCTCTCTGAGCCTGAGTTTTGAGGATTCTGTGTTTCCCTAAAGACACTTTTAGGTGAGACATGCTCAAGACTGCCTTTTTATCCCTAGAGGCAGATAGAGGCCTAATCTAAGTGGGATCAGTGTGGTGAATCAGAAAAGTAAGAATAAGTCATAGCTTATAAGCCAATTTATTCTACATGTGTGCAAACTACTCTGTGTATTTCCATTTTAAATATTTCCGCTTTATCGAAGTGTTGTTTGGGAGAGCCAAGGCAAGGGCTTGTGTCCACCTTGGGTGTGAGAGTATTCAGAATCCGTCTGAAGTCAGCATGATGGTAGCAGTGGGAATCAACCAGGGACCACAAGAATAAGGGAAACTCAAGAGGAAAGAACAAGTCAAAGGCCAGTAATCCCTTGTACCAAGAATGCCTTTGTCCAGCACAAGATCCTCCATTAATGAATGCTGACTTTCCCTTCAATCATGAACATGTGTGATCATTCTGAAAGAACATGTAGAAATCATTTGGTCCAACCCTCTCATTTTACAGATGAGGAGCCAAGATCTGTTGAGTTTACATGAACTTTTCTGCATCAGTAGCAGAACAAAATCAATTTTCAATGAAATAAAATAAATTTTAAAATTATGCATTTGTGCATTTTTATGTAGAATAAATTGTTTGTTGTTTTAAAATCAAATTTACAAGGGCATCCATTATTCATAGCTACAAATAGTAACTATGGCTGGGACTGGCGGTTTTCATCACAACTTCATCTGTTTTTCCAAGCCCTTGAGGATGAAATTCATGAATTCATGGATCATGGGGAAAGAAAAGAGATGGCATTGGAGAGCATTTGGTGTCCCACTTGAGTAAGCAGCCAAGAATATTCACTACCCATGAGTCATAAAGGAGTTAAGTCAGTGCGCCCAGGTGTCTGGTCTCCCTTGGAGTATTCCCTGGGTTAAGGAGCTATGCTGCTTTTCTTGGGTTTAGCTGCCTAATGAAGAGTTTCCTGGGCAGTGGTCAGCATGCCATCTATGTCCCTCAGCAGGAGTACTGCTGACATTCCTCAGAGCTTTTGATTGGCTTCTACTGAACCTACTCTGTGTGGGACAACCTCTCACTTGGTGTCTTAAGACAGCCATAATCCCTCCAAAGTGGAAGCAGTGTCCTGATCTGGAAGTCTGGTGGTGAGTGTGAGCCAAAGTCTTATGACATTAGGTTTAGGTTGAATGGAACACAGTCAGCTCAAAAATCTCCACCACATCTTGGGTTGTGGTAAAGCATGTCTTGGTGGTCTGATTGTGTTGGGAAGTTGTTATGGAGTTGCAAATAGGAATCAGGGTTATTGTTTGCAGTGACAGAAAGGTCCTAGAATCAGGGGGTTGAATATGAAGCTGCCATAAGTTGGTGGGGGTTCACCTGTCCCCATCCATGGCACTTTAGTTGGGCATCAGTTTTTTCAGCTTTAACTCTGCGCCTATTTCCCCATTCCATAGCCATGGCCCATCCAACTAGAGACCATTCCTGCTTACTTTTCCCCCATAAGTAATGTTCCCCATTGGGATCATCAGTAAAAATCATCCAAGACATGGAAATGGGCAAGAGAGATTGATGCATGTCCTATCGGGGAGGCCTGGGTTTTGTCACAAGTACACTAGGGGAATTGTCTGATTGTAAACAGGTGTGCTCCTTTGGTTGCCTTTTCATCAACTTTCTGTGGAAGTACAAGTTAACCTGTAATGCATATGAGCACTGTCCATAGCAATGCAAATTAATTTTGTTTGGTAGAGATAAAATTGATTTCTGTATTGTAGAAAAGAGGAGAATACCTTATTGAACTTTAGAAGATTAATCAGTTTTATATCTATTAGCAAATTGATATAAGCATTCTAAAGGTATTTCAGCTATATGAATTCCATGTATACTTACATATATGGAAAATTTTGTAAAAATTTTTTATCGCTCTGAATAGTCATAACATTAGATGTAAATGGAGAGGAATTTGTGCCGCATGTACCAATTTTTTTTAAATCATAGGACATTTATGTTCAAATGGCTTTTATCCTTTTTGGCTTAGTATTATGGAACAAGGTGTACTTGTAAATCTAACTAAGTAATTTGCCCAGATTCATGTGTACAGAGAGGCTGGACATTAGCAAATGCTGATGAAACTTGCATTATTATGAGAGCAGACTAAATATCTCTTCCTTTCTCTAATGATTATGCCTGAGCTGAGCCCTATAAATCACATTAAACTTTTTTATTAGTATAGAATAAGAGAAGGGCCATCTAGGATAAAAAAAAAGGTAGTATAAGAAAAGTATTGGAAAAGTGAAGAAAGACTTTACTGCTCGGTCAGAAAATTCTAAGGGGGAGAGGTGGAAGATAAGGCTGGATGAGCTGAATGATGGCCTTTGAAATATGTCCTACAGGAAATCGAGGAGATATTGGTAATTCTGGAGTAGGAATTTAAACATACATGGCTTAGGATGAGCACTATGACAGTAAGGTATCAGAAAGATTGGATTTGGAGGTGGTTGGCCAGGGGAGGGGGGCAAATTAAAGACATTCTTGGAAAGTGAAAAAAGGATAAAGGAAGTTTTTGAAAGGTTTAGTGACCATTCATGGAGCAGATTTGAGACATCACTAACACAGTCAAAGGTTTAGTGAAAAAGAATGTGATATTAAAGATGACTTCAAAAGTTAAACCTTAGGTAGTCAGGTGCGGTGGCTCATGCCTGTAATCCGAGCAATTTGGGAGGCCGAGGCAGGAGGATCACTTGAGGTTGGGAGTTCAAGACCAGTCTAGCCAACATGGTGAAACCCCGTTTCTCCCAAAAATACAAAAATTAGACAGGTATGGTGGTGAGCACTTGTAATCCTGGCTGCTTGGGAGGCTGAGGCAGGAGAATCGCTTGAACCCAGGAGGTGGAGGTTGCAGTGAGCCAAGGTCGTACTCCTGCACTAAGTAAGTTTGACCTTAGGAGTTTGGAACAATGAATGGGTGATGTTATTGAAAGGCAGGACAGATTACATTTCTGTTTTCTGAGCAGCTCTAACAGTATCTTTTATATCGTATGTTTGTCTTTCTTTGTTTTTTAATTTTTGAGGCATTTCCCCAGTTTGTCTCATTTGATGGTCACAGCAATCTGTGAGGCAGGCATGGCAATTGTCATGTTACAACTGTCACTCTTACAGAAGAAGAAACTTCTGTAAGAAGGGATGGTAAGTAATGAAATAATTTATTCAAACTTCAGGAAGGTGACCCAACTTAGACTGATTTTGTCTTTGATCAAAGAAGTGGATAAAATAATGAAATAATGTACAAGCATCATGGGAATTTAGGGTAATAAGTGACTGCTCGATTAGAGAAAAAAGTAAGAGGGTTTCACATGCAAAGTGTTTAAGAAGAGGTAGGGCCTTGTGGATATGGTCAATACTCTTCTGCATGTAAGATATGTCTACAGTGGACATGAAACAACTAGACATTCAGGGTCCAGGTATCTGGAATGTGACTTTGTAGTGTTAATCCAAATTGAAAGTCGAGTTCTACCTAGTAAAAACAGACACATTGTGTGTCTCTGGACATTTTGGTCATTACAATCAAATCATTTAAATCCATGTGCCTTTTATCAAGGTTATAAGATACCCTCCTCCCATAAGTTTTTCACTCTATCAATCATTAATGCCTGTGTGCCTCTTATTAAGGTTATAACTTGTCCTACTTCCATAGTTCATGAGGTTCTGATGAAGATACCTTTTGCTTGGATTTCTGAAAGTGATGAATGCAATGGTCACTCTCAACCCAGATTATTTTGGGGTAGTTTCTGGCATATAATGTAAAGTGCCCTTCTCCTTTTCCTTGAATAAAGGGAAATTGGTTTGTCTAAGCAAGATGAGGGATGGGGGCTAGCATAAGGCATAAAGGAAGAGAGGTAAGAGAGCAGAGGAAAGGCTCCCTGGAAGCAGGACACTCCTCCGCCCTCCATACGGTTCAGAGATGTTCTTGTCATGTCCATCCCTTGTTTGGTATGTTCCAGAAATACTGCTGGAGCAGGGCTGCACATTCTCATCTCCCATTTTCTGTAGGTCAGGGAATTACTGAGAGAGAGAGAAGTGTTAACTAACCCTCCCATCGATTTTCATCTCTGGACACTCTGGTCATCACAGTCAAATCATTTATGCCTGTGTGCTTCTTATTCAGGTTATAACTTGCCCTACTTTCACAGTTCGTGGAGTTCTGATGAAGATATGTTTTGCTTGGATTCATTTCTCTGTGGCATTAAAAAGTGAATTTTCATCTTTGTTTTATCACCTGTGTGAATGTTACATCCCCAGAGTTGCAATTTGGGTAATGAGCATCAGTGGTAAATTTTGGTAGCAAAGAGCAGGTACTACTGCCAGTTCCAGTGACCTTCTACATTATAAAGTGTTGAGGCCTCTCCGGGCCCTAGAGGAAAAGTGCTGGTTTAGATAAATTCTGACCTAGGAGGCTTTAATGTGTGTGATGGGTCGTTTCATTTGTCAACTTGGCTTGGCCACAGTGCTCAGATATTTGGTCAAACATTACTCTGGATGTTCTGTGAAGACATATTTGATGAGATTAACATTTGAACAATGGACTTTGAGTAAAGCAGATAGTCCTCCATGTTGTTGGTGGGCCTCATCCAACTAGTTGAATGTCTTAATGGAACAAAGACTGACTTCGCCCAAGCAAGAAGAATTTCCACTTGGGTGCAACTGACCTTGGGACTCAGACTGCAATTCTTCCCTGGATCTCCAACCTGGCTGCCTATCTTGCAGATTCTGGCCTTGCCAAGTCTACACAGTTACATGAGCCAATTCCTTAAAATAAATCTCTCTTTATATAGACAATCCTCAACTTATAATGATTTGACCTAATACTTTTCAGATTTATGACCATGGAAAAGTGATATGCATTCAGTAGAAACCATACTTTGATTATTCATACAACCTTCCTGTTTTTCACTTTGTCTATACTATTTAATAAATTACACAATATATTCAACACTTTGCTGTAAAATGAGCTTTGTGTTAGATGATTTTGCCCAACTGTAGGCTAGTATAACTGTTCAGAGAATGTTCGAGGCAGGCTAGGGTAAGCTACAATGTTCAGTAGGTTAAGTATATTTAATGCATTTTGGCTTATGATATTTTCAACTTGGAATGGGTTTATCAGATTGTAACCCCATAATAAGTCTAGGAGAATCATTATCTGTACCTATATAAGTATATATACATATATATGTATGTATGTGTGTATATCTGCTGTTGGTTCTGTTTCTTTGGAGAACCCTAATACAATGTGTGACCTATTTTTCTAGTTATCTCATTATTACATAACAAACAACCATAAAACTTAGTGGTTACGATAACAGCAACCATTTGTTTTGCTTACAAATCAGGAAGTTGGGCTGAACTCAGTGGGGCTGGTTCATTTCTGCTTCACATGGCACAGGTGGAATGGCTCAACTGTGGGCTGAAGTAAAGATGTGCTTAGAAGATGGCTTTCTCACACACTCATATGGTGAGCAGTTTGAAACTGACTGTTGTTTGGGATCCTAGCCAGAGCTGCTGTCCAGGAACCCCTGTTCTTCTTTATGCAGGCCCCTCTACAGGCTGCTTGGGCTTGCTCACAGCATGGTGACTATTCCAAAGCAAATGACCTGAGATAGAACCAGGCAACAGTATCATCTTTTGGGACCCAGCCTTGGAAGTCATACAGCATCATTTCTGCCCTAACCACAAACCTGCCTGGATTTTTTATTTTTTTTTGAGATGGAGTCTTATCTGTCACCTAGGCCAGAGTGCAGTTGTGCGATCTCGGCTGACCGCAACCTCTGCCTCCTGGGTTCAAGCAATTCTCCTGCCTCAGTCTCCCAAGTAGCTGGGAATACAGGTGTGTGCCACCACGCCCGGCTAATTTTTGTATTTTTAGTAGAGACGGGGTTTCACCACGTTGGCCAGGCTGGTCTCAAACTCCTGACTTCAGGTGATCCACCCGCCTCGGCCTCCCAAAGTGCTGGGATCACAGGTGTGAGCCACCGTCCCTGGCCACCTGCCTGGATTTAAGGGGAAGAAATTCTAGAGTTGTCAAATAAAATAAAAGATGCTTAGCTGAATTTGAATTTCAGGTAAATAACAAATATGTATTTTGGTATTGAATATGTCACAAGCAATATCTAGGTCATGCTTATACTAAAAATGTGTGTGTCTTCCCATATTTTTATTTGCTGACTCTGGTAACCTATTACAGGCCTCCTGTATTGATGGGAGGAGGGTCAAAGTCACTGCATAATATGAGCACATGGAATGACAGTATTGTTGTGCTCGTATTTGTATAATACCCTCTGCTCCAGCCTACCCTCAGGCAACAACAATTTCCAACCCTCTCATGTGTGAAATACGCTCATGCCCAGGGCCACCAAGTCTCATCCCTTTAAGAATCAATGTGAAGTCCAGGACCTCATTCTCTAGAGCAGGTGCAGCTGAGGTTGAGGCTCCTTGGTACAGTACCATTTCTTGGGTACAACTCCTCGAGTATTATTTCTTTCAACCTGAAGACCTGTGAAGAGAGGAGAGGAGTTATCTGTCCTTTACATATTTGACATACAATAGTGAGTCCAATATAAGGCAGCTGTTATAGACATTCCCATTCAAAAATAAGAAGTACATAGCAGTTACTTGTCCAGAGCAATTCTGAAATCCAGCAAGGCGGAGGTTACGGGTACCTTGATTAAGGTGCTTTCCTGTTGACAAGGAGGGTTGATCTCTAGGGCTATCAGCTCTTTCTGGGCTCTCGGTTCTGCTGTCCGAGCCACTTTTCCTTTTCCATAAGAAATGGCTTGTACTTAGAACTGAGTAGTTTTCTTTTCTTTTTTCTCCCTTCTCCCCACAAGTTGATTAGTTTTCTAAGACTGTTAGATGCCCATTGTAGTTTGGGAATTCAAAGGCCTCTTTTCATTTTGTGCCATCCCTTGTTTTCAGTGTAAATTGATAAAATTCCTTTGAAAATGTTGTGAGCTTTTTGTGTATCAATGTATAATCCTCTCCATTAGGCAAACGTCGCACTCAAAAATCTCTGGATAAGCCTGGGTGACAGAGCAAAACTCTGTCTTGGGGGGTAGAAAAAAAAAGAATGGTTTTTAGGCCAGGCGCAGTGGCTCACCCCTGTAATCCTAAGACTTTGGAGGATCACTTGAGCCCAGGAGTTTGAGACCCTCCTGGGTAGCAACTCGGTCTCTACAAAAAGTACAAAAAATTAGCTGGGCATGGTGGTGCCCACCTGTAATCCCAGCTATTCAGGAGGATTCATGTGAGCCTGGGAGGTCAAGGCTGCCATGAGGAGAAATTGTGCCATTGCACTCCAGCCTGGGTGACAGAGTGAGACCCTGTCTCAAAAAGAAAAAAAAAATGGTTTTCACATTTTTTGAGGTTTGCGGAAAAAATCAAAAGGAGAATAATATTTTGTGACATAGAAAAATTACATGAAATTCAAAACTCAGTGTCCTTAAACAAAGTTTTATAAAAACGCAGCCATACTAATTTGTTTATATGTTGTCTACAGCTGCTTTTATACTGCAATGGCAGAGTTGAGTAGTTGCAGTAAAAAAACAAAAATTTTTACTATGTGGCCCTTGAGAGGAAAAGTTTGTTGACCCTTGCTGTGGAATATAAAAATTTTGGATGGCATGATGTGGACTCCCAGTTTTAAATGCTAGATAAAGTTAAGATGTTGCTATCTTCTTGTCTTGGAAATCACCTCAAAGCAACAAAGAGAACAAAGATCAGACTGACTTATAAGCTCTATCTTCAACAAAAGAGGAAGTATCTGTAACCTTGAGCCAGTCTATGAGAAATGCAGTGGAGATCAAACAGGGTCATGGGAGAAAACAGGAGATGGTGCTTGTGTCTGGACATCTCAGAGAAAGGTGGCAGAGAACAGTTCTTCAAAGAGGAGCCCATCCTTGGAGGCAAAATCAAGTCCTTACTGGGAGCAACAGGAATTTCATGAGCAGAGTGATGGCAGAGGTGCCGTTGAACATAATTTGACACCAAGGACAGTCAAGGATGACAGGGCTGCATCCAGCCATATTATTGTAAGAAGGGTGGAGGAGAGAGATGTACTGTGCACCACCTGCACCCCCCAATCTCTGTTGGCTGGAAAAATAAAAGCAGAAAACTCACCCACTCCCTCAACCCTGTAATCCTTTGATTACATTTCTTTGGTCTTCTATACAAATTACCACATGCTTGGTAACTTAAAACAACAGAAATTTATTCTCTTACAGTTCTGGAGGCCAAAAATCCAAAATCCAGATATCAGCAAGAGCACGTTCCCTCCAAAGGCTCTAGGGAAGAAGACTTCCTTGCTCCTTCCAGCTTCAGTGGTTCAGGCATTCCTTAGCTTGTGGACGTATCACTCTAGTCTCTGCCTCCATCTTCACATGCTTTTCCTAGGTCTTTACATTTGTGTGTCTCAAATGCCCCTCTTCTTTCTTTCTTCAATTAAAAACACCAGTTATCTTGGCTGGGAGCGGTGGCTCATGCCTGTAATCCCAGCATTTTAGGAGGGCAACGCGGTAGATCACCTGAAATCAGGAGTTTGAGACCAGCCTGGGCAACATGACCAAACCCCATCTCTACTAAAAAAAAAAAAAAAAAAAAAAAAAAAAATTAGCCAGGTGTGATGATGCATGCCTGTAGTCCTAGCTAATCAGGAGCTGAGGCACGAGAATCTCTTGAACCTGGGAGGTTGGCAATGAGCCAAGATAGCGCCACTGCACTCCAGCCTGGGCCATAGAGACTTTGCCCCTCTCTCCCCCGCAAAAAACCCACCAGTTATCAGATTTAGGACCTACCCTAAATCCAGGATGATCTCATATTGACATCTTTAACTTAATTAGATCTGCAAAGACCCTATTTCCGAATAAGTTCACATTGATAGTACTAGAAGTTAAGACTTGGACATATTTTACAGGATACAAATCAACCCGCTAAAGAGAAGTGCTGGTTTTAAAATATTGCCCCAAATTATTTGATAGTTCTTTCCATCAAAAGGGGGTCTATGGCCTCTCCCTATGAATCTGGGTGACTTTGCATCTGCTTGAAACACCAGGGTACAGAAGAAACGACACAACATGACTTTTGAGGATTGTGAAAAGTATGAAGCTTCTGCCTTGTTTGTTGGAACACAGAGCCATTGGGTAAGCAGGCTGTCCACCCAGAGCAGCCGTGCTAGAGAGACTCCAAAATCCTCAAGGAGATATTACACAAAGGACCCGTGAGGAAGCTCCTCCATCTGATTGGCCAGCACCAAGTGTTTCTCTGACATCTCACTTGTCATGAAAGCCATCATCAGCCACATGGGGCTGTCAAGCACTGGAAATGTGGCTGGAGCAATGGAGAAACAGAATTTTATGTTTTGGCTTATTTTAATTAATCTAATGTTAGAATTACTGTAAAATATATCATTACTCATTTTGATACTGATTGGATAGTGAAATGATAATATTTTAGATATATTGTGTCAAACAAAATATGTTATCAAAATTAACTTGGCCTTTTTTAATGTGGCTGTTAGAATACTTTTAATTATTTATGGCTCACATCGTATTTCTACTGGAAAGTGCTACTTTAGCATCATCTCTAAAAGGTTCTGGAGTTTCAAGCTGGTGGCCTTGCACAGGTGTCTCCCACCTGGGCCAGGTCAGTCACTTGAACCAAGTGGCCTTCCAAGGGCCTTCCAGTGCTCTGATCTGCACCTGAGCATGGAACAGACCAGAAGATCACAAGATAAACTGGTGGAATTTTAAGGATATTTTAGAATGGAAAGAAAGGCCTTTCTTTGCCTGATGCTCATTGCTCTTTTGGGGCACTATGGCATTTTGGAAAGACTTTAGTTAACCCAACTTTAAATGCTAGCTAAGCTAATTACTACCTGTGTGATCTTAGGTTTGTTTCTAAACCTCTCTGAACAAACAAACAAATATTTACTGTGAATACATTTAACCTGCTCGCCTAAACCTGTGAGTTTCTTGAAGATGTGACATGATCCCCGCTTTGCAAATCTATTGTGAAGATCGGGGATCTGGGCATAAGAGGCCCAGCAGCTAGTGGCTAAATAAACAAATATTGATTATAACTTAATAGTTTTTAAATTAAGAAACACTTATAATTTGTATTAATAATTTAATAATAATTTTAATGCCTAAGTATCCTGACAAATAAGGAAAAGCCCTGCAGAAGACAAGAGTAATTAAAGACTTTACATTCCTGCACATGTGTGTGCATGTATGTGTGCACAAGTGTGCGTGTGTGCATGTGTGTGTGTGTGTGTGTCTGCAGGGGGTTGAGGTGGTACAGGAGATTGATAATAAGCAAATAGACAAATAAATATGTAACTCAGGACATGACAAATACTGTGAGAAACAAGGCAGGATGAGGAGCTGGTGAGAGACAGGTGGAGAGATTGGTTGGGAAGGTGGGAAAGTATGTCAGCTAAGGGGACCTCCACTGGGGGTAAGCCTCGGCCATGTCTCCATTTCATCAAGTGCCAGAACTACAGGATGTATCCTCTCTGCAGAAATCTGTGCTTTCAGTCTGCCTTATTTCACTTTTCCTGTATCTGCCTATACTTTTTTTTTCTTTTTACTCTAAAAACTGATCTTCTAACCTCAGAATCAACAGAGCAGTGCAGTTTTCTAAGAAAACAGCTTAACTAAAGCCAATGGGCCTAAAATTAATGCCTTTAAAATCAATTTTCATAAAACCAACTTGCTCATGGTCTATTTGCCATAAGCTGCTTTCACTTACCTTTGTCTTAAGGTTTCACCTTCAGAGCATCTCCTATGAAGCAGATCAGTTTCAGCCTCTCATGAAGTTTTGTATTTTTTCTAAGTGTTTTTTTCTGATTCAGTCCCTTGTTTATAAAGTATTTCTGTTTATTTTCCTATTTTTATTAAGAATTTATGCAGTTATTCATATATTGATTCAATGATTATGGATTCACTGATCAATTTAATTCATCAAGTTGATTCCTTTGGCGATTTCTTACCTCTCATTTACTATTTTCTTTGTTTTTTCCATACCTACATGTCTCTATGGATTCATCAATACAAATTAGTCCCACTCGTTGTTTGATGCAATTCATAAGATCACTATTTCGGCAAAGGCAAACAACTATAGAAAACTTCCTAGTGACAGCTTTTTGCTTTTATGTTCAAGAAAGTAGAAAAATAAAATGATATTACCGTAGTAATGTACCACATGACCACGTTAAACCCATTAGGATCTTAAGGCTCTAGGCTTGGGTTGCCATAGCCTACACATGTGGGCAGACACTTGACAACAGGGTTTCTGACTCCAAGTTCAGTGTTTCAATTAAGAGCTCTACACTGCTTCCATCAATAATTTTGCAAATGTGCTAATTATACTTTCTAAGTAGTTAAATAAGACACGGTTTATCCACCATTTGCTCAAACACTGTCTCATTTGAACCTCCAAAATATCATTTCTTATTACCATTACCACCTTAATGAGGAGGAAACTTGGTTAAATGAACGAGCAAATTAATTAATTATGTAAAGCAGGATTTAACAACTTATTCCAGTGACGAAAAAAGGAAAAAAATGAGATAAGAAAATAGTTGAATAAACTAACAAAGAAACATCCTCCTTTAGAACATTTAAGCCAGTAGATCGCGGCTGGGGACAATGTTACACTCCCATTGAACACAGACACAGTTTTGGGTGTCACAGGTCGGGGGAGGGTGCTACTGGCATCTCACGGGTAGAGGCCAGGGTTGCTGCTAAACATTCTATGATGCACAGGACAACCCCACAGGAAAGAGCTTTCTGGCCCAAAAATGTCGATAATGCTGAGATTGAGAAATCCTGTTTTAAGGGCTGCTTGTTTTTCTTTTTTTTGTTTTGAGATGGAGTCTTCCCGTGTTGCCTGGGCTGATCTCACACTCTCCTGAGTTCAAGAGATCCTCCCCGCTCAGCCTCACAAGTAGCTGTGGGATTGCAAGCGCTTGCCACTGCACCTGGCAGGGCAGCTTGTTTGAGGAGGTAAAAATGGAGTGTGCTTCCAAGACAAACACTGACCTTGAAAAGACTGGTCTTCTTCATACACTGTCTTTCTCCAATAGGGCTTTCACATGTTTTGCCATGTATACCCACACTCCCGTTTCAGAAAGAAGTCTATGTTCCTATGTTCCTTTTCTCTGCCTGAAGTCTCTCAGGTGAGGCTTTGTTTTGTGCATCTGTTTTCTCTGGCACAGTCCCTCATCCACCAATTCTCTTTATGAACTTGACTCCAGCCCTCAGTGAAGAGAAAGGCCATGATTGCCTCAGGTTGCGTCCTTGCTCCCAGACCCAGTGCCTGGGCAAGGACCCCAAGTCAGGCTGAGCAGTCTGGGTCTCTGGCTCAATCTCCTGGTTCTCCAGGCCAAGGCTAGCTCAGGAGCCAACTGAGGGAGGATGTTCCATCCCTTTCCATCTGTCTTTCTCACACTGTGCTTCGCGGTGTCTTCCTCTTCTCTCCTCCCTCACTCTTCCTTCAGACCACTGGACCTCAAGACTCACTTCTTTTCATCTTCCCTTTAAACCCCTTTCCCAGAGACAGTAACTCAGGAACAACTCAAAAAGTTCGTGACTGATAATAAGTTTAGACCCCTTCCAGGCAAAGCTGCCCATAACAAGCTCCTGTGGAGTGTAAGACATGATAATACAAAGCACTTTTCCATCCTTTACTTCACTGGCTTTCAGAGCTTCCCTCTAAGACTGAGGCACAGGAAATTTCCATGCCACCTTAGAATGATGATGAAACAGACTCAGAGCTCCAGGTTACCCGGTTGGTTGCTGGTGGTACCTGCATGTAAAACTGGGCTTCAGACGCTAAGCCCTGTCTCTTCAGTAAAGAGGTCCTGCCTGCTGGGGGAATGCAGACTCTTGCAGTGCACCTCAGTCTCTTCCCCACATGTACAGCCCCCCTTCTGTTTTCACAAAAAGTCAGCCATCCCAGTGACCCGGAAGAGGAACTCTGTTCCCCATTTGGGGGAAGGCATTGTTCTATTTCCCGTCTGGTCTCCTGGACTTTGGAGCTGTATGATTTGATACAGTTCTGAGTACTGAACAGCTCTTCCTCATTAAACCCTCACTTATAATGACACAGTCAGCTTCTTCCTTCCTAAGAAAGATCCTCAGCAGATGCTCATCCCTTTATAATGGACCATCAAGCTGTATTTGTTTGATGTTTATATTTCATCTCATTCCTTTCTGGCATGGGAGGACTCCAGTTGAAACAGCTCACATTTTTCCTCCAAGTTCTCGTTCTGCCCTCTTTCCTCATTAAGTAAAGGTAATTATAAAAAGGCAAAACAAAACTTGGAATTTCACTGTTGGAGGAAACGCAAAAACATTTGAGAAATGGCCTAAAGATCCCTGAGGAATACTCAGTCTAGAGAAGAAACAAAAAACACAATTAAAGACAGTCTGGAAAATGTTGTAATTGATATATGCCCATGAGACTATGGGAGGCGAGAGAAGAAAGAGACTACCTGGGGAGGGTGGCAGGGGACACAGGACGGAAGCAGCTGTACAGAGCAGATATTACCTGACCTCATAACTCAATAGCATCTTCAGGTGAGACATGTTTGCTTGTCTCAATGGCACCACAGGTTTTCAGTGGATGGTTTTATTTTCCACTGTCTGAATGACTTCAAGTGTCAGTTACTTTAGAGTGCATGGCTTTACTAGAAAACCAGTTTTGAAGTGATTTTCTACGTATTCCAAGAGGTAAACTATAAATGAGAAAACACAGTTTTTTGTTATTGTTTTGCCCTATTTTCTATATATAGAAAATAATAGATTCTATAGAGAGAATCAAATTATCCTCTATTTCCTGTATTTTTTCAGTCTGTTGATTTTTACCCTGGGTCAAACCTCCTGTAACTCCAGATGAAGTTCTAACAATACCTACAACCTCTATTGCCTTCATGTTTTTGTGCAGTAATCATTGCCAAGTTATTTTGCTTCACACCAGCTGGGACAAAGTAGGACAATTACCTAATGTACCCCAACAAACGGCATGAAAATTGCTTAAGAACCTGCCTTGATGTTATCACTGCTCTAGTCATTTCATTTTATTATTCTCTCCAGCTAAACCTCCCTAACCTAGTTAGCCACTCCCTGCCCTTTTCCTTTAAACTCCCACGATGATTCTACCATACTTCATACAAGGTTTGGCTTTGTTTTGTTTTCACAGGACATTTATGTGTTCCAAATAACTTTTTCCTTTTTAACTAAATCAAGCAGCAAAGCACCTGGAGGGTCATTGGTTTGGGATGTTCTCTCTTCACAAATTCAGAACATAATAACCTAAGATCATAAGGATTATGATCAGTTACATAATGTCCCATTTGAAATTAGAAGTGGAACCAGACGGATGAACTGTAGATAGAGCCTGTCTTCTCTAGCACTTACACTGAGCTCTCCTGGGTGGCTTGACTACCATGATACAAAGAAAGCCCTCTGGAAGTATAAGGGAAGGAAACATTACTATAGTCTAAGGAGATATTGAAAAACAGGAAAGATAGGAGATGAAGCTGGACCTTTCAGGCTACGTAAGATTTCAAAGGGAGAAAGGCCCTCCAAGGAGATCAACACCTCAAGCAAGATGCTATAGTCAAAAATATTGGGGCCTATTTTTTAAAAAGAAATAAGTTAATCAGTGTTGCTGGAGATCAAGGTTCTGGAGTGAGGAAAGGCACAGAAGGATAAGGCTAGGTAAGTGGGCCATCACCAGATCATTTAAGACTCTGGATGGCAAACTGAGGGTAGACTTCATTCTGCAAGAAAGAGGAGCCAACAGAGACTTCACAAAATTCTCTAGAAGCATTGAGGAGAGGAAGATATTCCAATGGTAAAAGTGAGAGGTTTTGAAAACTTTAATCAGGACACTGGCTATGGAGAAGAAGAGGAGGAGGGAAAGAAACTTTGTAGGAATCAAACAAATCAAATTTAAGTAGGCTGGATATGGGGAAGTGGGAGTGAAGGACTGGTATAAAGAAGAAGAAAAAACAAAGATCAGACAATGTTTATCAAAATATTCTCCTAGTGCAAGGTCCAAGGGAGACACTCAACAAATATTCTTTGAAGTTGGTGATTCCAGGGTTTGGAGTATAAGTGACTGGTGATGATATTTCCTGGAATAAGGGAAAAATATCAGGCATTGAGAGGAAGACAACAGGGTCAGCCATGGGCATGTTGCATTTGTGGGTAGAGATGGCTAATTGGCATTGGATATACAAATCAGGTGAGAGATCTGGGAGAGAGATAAAATGGTCAGTGTTTAACATATAGATGAAACCCCCACAATAAATGAGCTCTTCCAAGAAGAATGTATAGAAGACAACAGAGGCTGGACAGCAAACATCTCCCAAGGATTTACTCTTGTCTTTGTTCTCTTCCATACATTCTTCTTGGAAAAGCACAGGCCTGGCAGAGAGCAGATACTCAGTAAACATTTGTTGAGTAATGGAATGAATAAGTTTAAGGAGAATGTAGATTGCATTTCATCAGACAAGTACACAGAGATGGGACCTTACTTTTGTTGAGCATCAGTTATCTGCCAGGTACTCACTTTACTTGTGGTTTCTCCTTTAAGAGAATGAAATAATATCACTCAAAGCTTTACAAAGCTTTAAAGTCCAGGTTTATAGTGACCTCAGCTTTTGCAATGTCTGCAACTCTCATGCCTTCCCTTGGACTCTTCCCTACCCTCAACATTTTTGTATTTAATCTCCACATAAGAAGTCAGAGCAAAATGAAACTCCTTTGAACTTGGGACACTCTTCACATTCTCTTCTGTAAAGAGAAATCCCAGATGACCAGAAACCTTGTGGTTCTTCTGGGACTGTTGCATTTGTTTCTTGAGTTTACTAATTCATCACTTTCTAAGAGCTGGCACTGTGCAACATGTGGAAAGAAGACAAGGCTCAGCCAGCGAGAAGCTCAAAATACAGTTCAAATGTGTATGTGCACACATTTTGGGAACCCAAAATCAACTGATAGAAAACTAAGGTTTCCTTGGATAGAGCCTGCAGAAAATCTCTGCACTTATGTATAGACCTGCATCACAATTGCAATGGAATCTGTAAGTAAGCACTGTGGTCTGTGGGCACACTCAGAAGAGTAGGCCTAATTCTGTCTTAGAAGCACAGGTAACGGTGGAAGATCATGGAAGTCTTCACAGAAGACAAGATATCAAAACAGAGCCTTGAAGGCTAAGTAGGTTTGTTTATTTGCTTCTTTGTTTTTCCAGATAGAAGGGGCCACATAAGCAAAGATGAAGAAACATAAAAGAGCCTCAGTGTGGATTTTTTGAAAGGTGGGACATGAAGCTGGGGCAGAATACCAGAAGGGTTTTAAATGAGTGTGGCATGATTGGATTTGTGTTTTGGGAAGACTGTTCTGGCAGCTAGTGCAGACATTGGAATCGAAAATGGAAATATGCCTGAACAGGGAGCTTGAGGCCCAGGTGCCTTCTTTTTATTCTCTTCTGCCTCCAAAGACCTGAGAAGGGCTGGATTTGAAGACTGACATGTGTAAATGCATTGAACCATTAGAAACTTTTCCCAGGAAATCTATTACGAAGTTCACCATATTTATTACATTTTAAAATACTTTTTAATATAAGCCTATCATTTGTAACAACCTATGAAATTAAACTTTTTTCTTTTTCTTTCTTCTTATGCTTTGTTTTCTTTTCTCCTGATGTTAGAATGAGAAAGAGCACTTGATGAAGAGTCTAGAAGTCTGTGTTTCAGTCCAAAACCTGCCAATAATGCTGGAAAACCTTAGAAGGTCAACAAACCCTCCTGAGGTTAAAATTCTTCACCCCTCAAAAAGACAGGGACTTTCTGAGCCTCCTGCCCCATAAGATTGTCGTCAGTTTCAGACAAGAACCAAGTTGGTAAATGCAGTTTAAAACCTACCATGAGCCAGAGCAAAGGAAGGAAGTTTCCAATTTTCTATAGATATTTCACATCAGACATCATGCAGTTTCAGTATACTTAGTTTCCTTTGATATTATCCATAGCCTTGGCCCTCAAATATTTCACATTCTTAGATTAATTTAATAATAGCCTGGTGTTGCTGCTTATGTATCCTACCATATCCACAGCCAACTATGAAGACAATAACTTTCTCACCTGAGAACTAAAGACTTACCTGGCTATAGCTCCATATTATAATCTACTTAAATTATAAATTATATGGTATCAGACCATCATCTGAACCATTTTAGATCTAAGAGATTTGCCATGTCCTCATATACTGTCTATTATAATCTGATTCTTCTTTCAGTCCACAAATATTTATTAAGCAAACACTCTGCAAAGTTCCAGCAACAGAGACACTTGGAAGTAGCTAGAAACTAGGAAATTAAGAAAGAATACACTTTATACAATGTGAATTCTAGGAGGATTTTGTGGGAAAAAAAATTTTAAGGGAAGATATGTTTTCAGAGTTTTACACTTAATTATTAAAAATTACAATGATTTTCAAAATGTATCTTTGACAGTGGAGATTATGTTTTGTCTGGTAATCGATCAGCTTTTTCTTTTAACCAACAGTTCATCTAAAACATTTTACCAAATCCAAAGATAAGAGAATTTACAGTGAAGTTTGGAGGGTAGGGAACCCAAAATCAACTGATAGGAAACTAAAGTTTCCTTGGATAGAGCCTGCATGAAATCTCTGCACTTATGTATAGACCTGCTCAGAGCAATGTCTGTGGAAATGACTTCAAAAGCTCCAAGTGCCAGAAATAACAACTGCTCTGGATCAAGTCCAGGAACAGATATTGGGACTAGAAAGAGGGATTTTCCAAAAATCTGAGTTTCATTTTTATCTATAATATTGTTGAAAAATGGAAATGCTACTATGTGAAACTCTGGCACTTTTTTGGCTATAAAAAAGCCATGTGTACAGTATGAGCTATCATGCTTTATCAAGTCTGAAGAACAGAGAAAGCCATAGGGGAACCTTATAATGGTTAATAACCTCCTAATAAAGTACATTTGTGCATTGATAAGGACTATTGAAAATTTCTAATTAATTATTAAAATCATTTGAATTTCATTTGTCTGTTAAACTAATATCACTGATCCTGAATAGCATGCTTCTGTTGGGTTCTTATCTTGAGAAAAATTTGAATTGTCTTAATATTTTGCTAGTCACATAAAGAATTCAAGTACCATATTTTCAAATTAAACTTGCTTTTGCTTAAAGTTTTTCCTCTAAAAAATACATATTCAGCTAAGTAATCTGTATTTAGGTATTTAATCTAAATCTGTATTTTATTTTAAGCAAATACAGAAAGCATCTTTTAGAAAAGTTATCATGCACTATTCCACAACATAAAATTAAATCTTTTTTCTTTGATAAATCTGATTTTACACATAATGGTTCACTCAAAAAATCAACAAGAAAAAAAAAAGATGGGAGAGAAAAGCAACCTGCTGGTGTTATAAGTAAATTTGTAAGGCAGCTAATCCATACCTCTTCAAGAATAATCCTTACCGCTTTATGGACCTGGTTTTAACAATGCTAGTGAGTTGAGTGTAGTTTACCTATTATAGTGTAATGGTAATTTTTATTTTCAATAGCTTTAAAATAAAATAGTATGATGATCCAAAAGCACATTTCTAAAAAGGATTAGCATGTTGTTGTAAGAATATGTGTTTAGGAATTGGATGGCTAAACTATATGATCTTCTTGTAGGGCTTCAGAGAAAAGATTAGTTTATTTATATTTCCAGCAGCAAGACAGACTCAATACCCTGAATGATTCTACCTATAAATACCACTGAAACAGCTAGACAAAATACTTTATTTATTTCCAAGCTCATTTTATTTTATTTCACATAATTTTTATTTAAAAATATTTAATTGACAAAGATGGAATCTTTCCAAGGTGCAAAACATAATGATTTGATATATGTATACATTGTGTAATAATTACAATCAAATTAATTAACACATTCATCAACACCCATGACTTTTTCAAAATGAATAGCTGAACTAACAAAAAAGTCAGAGTTCTTCGGAGGAAAACAAAAACAAAAACACCTTGGGAATTAAGTGAATACCAAAGTTGGCTAAAGAAAATCACAAAAGTACTAGAAGAAAACATGGGTGACTTTCACTTTAACTTCAGTTAGGGAAAGGTTTTCTAACTATGACCTGAAATTCAGAGGCAATAAAAGTAGGAGAAAATATTTGTAACAAGTATCGCAGATAAAGGACTAATATCTCTAGCTTAAAAAAAAATTCAAAAGTCGAGAGAAAAAAAAAAGACCAAAAAGTCTTAGAAAAATGAGCAAAACACCGACAATTCACAGAGCTACGAAAATGACCTCAAACCATAAGAAAGGATGTTTACCCTCACTCATAGTAAGAGAAATGCAAATGAAAACTATACCGAGATACCATTTCTTACTCAATAGATTTGCAAACATTCAAAAGTGTGACAATGAACTCTGTTGGTAAGACTGTGGGAAACAGGACGTTTTGTACTTTGCTGTTGGATCTGCAAAATGGGATAGATCCCATATGTAGGGGAATTTGGCAAGTTCTAACAAAACTGCATATGCACTTATTCTTCAACTCAGAAATACCTTTGCTAGAAATTTACCTAGGGGACATATCTCCAATGACACAGAAATTTATATGCACAATGCTACCCATGGTAACATCATTTATCATTGAAAACTGTTGGAAACTACCTACATGTCAAAGCAAAGGAGATTGATTGCATACACACAGCAGAGTACTGTGCAGCTATGAAAAAGGAATAAGGATGATCTCTATGAACTGTTATGGAGTGACTTTTAGGAAACAATAATTTAAAAAAGCAAAGTGCTAAGGAGTACATACAGTATGCCTAGATTATACTAGTGTATACTTACATCTGGAACAGATATATATAAGACTATATATAGTATGCTATATAGTTTTGTGAAAGGATGAAAGGAAAATAAGAAAAGGTACATATAACTACTTATCATTACAAAAAAGAAATACAAGATGGATTAACCAGAAAATAGTAACCAGTTAGAGGTAGGGAAAATGGAGTGTAAATGGGAAGAAAGGGAGTGAAACTTCCTTGATTTTTGAAAGTGTGTCATTATTCTTCAAATATAAGAATAAGGTTAAGTTAATAAGAATAGGAATGGAGCAGCCAACATCATACTGAATGGCCAAAAGCTGGAAGTCTTCCTCTTGAAAACTGGAACAAGACAAGGATGCCCTCTTTCACCACTCCTATTCAACACAGTACTCAGAATCCTAGACAGAGGAATCAGGCAAGTGAAAGAAATAAAAGGCATCCAAATAGGAAAAGAGGAAGTCAAAGTATCTCTGTTTGCAGATGATATAATTCTACAGCTAGAAAACTTAATAATCTCTGCCCATAAGCTCCTTGATCTGATACACAAATTCAGCAAAGTTTCAGGATGCAAAATTAACATAAAAAATCGGTAGCATTCCTGTAAACCAACAACATCTAAGCTGAGAAACAAATCAAGAAAGCAATCCCATTCATAATAACCACAAAAAGAATAAAATACCTGGGAATACAGTTAACCAAGAAGGTGAAAGACCGCTACAACAAGAATTACAAAACACTGCCTCAGAGATGACACAAACAAATGGAAAAACATTCCATGCTCATGGATAGGAAAAATCAATAGTGTCACAGTGACCATACTGCCCAAAGCAATTTACAGATTCAATGCTATTCCTATCAATCTACCAATTGAATTGTTCACAGAATTAGAAAAAAAACTATTTTAAAATTCATATGGAACCAGAAAAAACTTGAATAGCCAAGGCAATCGTAGGCAAAAAGAACAAAGTTGGAGGCATCACATTACATGACTTCAAACTATACTGCAAAGCTACAATAACCAAAACAGCATGATACTTGTACAAAAACAGACACACAGACCAATGGAACAAAATAGAGAAATAATGCTGCACACCTACAACTACCTGATCTTTGACAATATTCACCAGAAAAAGCAATGGGGAAAGGACTCTTTATTCAATACATGGTGCTGGGATAACTGGCTAGTCACATGCAGAAGATTGAAGCTGGACCCCTTCCCTACACCATATACAAAAATTGACTCAAGATGGATTAAAGACCTAAATCTAAAATTGAAAACTATTAAAACCCTAGAAGATAATTTGGGAAATTCCTGGCAAATACTTCATGATAAAAACACCAAAGCAATTGTGACAAAAACAAACATCGACAAACAGGACCTAACTAAACCTAAGAGCTTCTGCACAGCAAAAGAAACTATCAACAGAATAAACAGACAACCTAACAGAATGGGAGAAAATATTTGCAAACTATGCATCTGACAAAAGGTCTAATATCCGGAATCTATAAGGAACTTAAATTTGCAAGCCAAAACCAAACAACCGTATTAAAAAGTGGGCAAAGAACATGAGCAGACAGTTTTTAAAGAACCACATTCAAGTGGCCAACAAGTATATGGAAAAAATGCTCAACATTACTAATCATTGGAGAAATGCAAATCAAAACCACAGTAAGATACCATCTCAAACCACTCAGAAGGGCTATTACTAAAAAGTCAAAAAATAACAGATGCTGTCGAGGTTGTGGAGAAAAGGGAATGCTTCTGCACTGCTGGTGAAAATGTAAATTAGTTCAGTCATCACGGAAAGCAGTTTGGCGATTTCTCAAAGAACTTAAAACAGAATTACCATTGGACACAGCAATCCCACTTTGGTTTATATACCCAAAGGAATATAAATCATTGTACCACAAAGACACATGCATGCATATATTCATCACAGCACTAGTCACAATAGCAAAGACATAGAAACAACCTAAATGCCCATCAATTATAAACTGGATAAAGAAAATGTGGTACATATAGACCATGAAATACTGTGCAGCCATAAAGAAGAATGAGATTATGTCCTTTGCAACAACATGGAAGGAGCTGGAGGCCATTATCCTAGGCAGACTAATGCAGGAACAGAAAACCAAATACTGCATGTTCTCACTTATAAGTGGAAGCTAAACATTGAGCTGAGTGTGGAAGAGATGGGGAGAAGTGCAAATAAATTCTTAACTCTTCACAGTAGATTTCTTCATTGTAGTGCTATAGGCAAAGCAAATTTGGAACTATCTCAAATGTGTTATCCTAAACGTATTATGGATCAAATGAGTAAATATGCTAATGTTGTTGGCAAACAGAGTTCTCACTATAGAGGGAGAGAATAACAAATATGAGATGGGGGAAGGCAAGAAAACATCTTGTGGGTGTGGGTTGGAATTGGAGGTTTCAGTTTGAACTTAAGATTTCTAAAATACTTGTATGTAATTGTATATGCATGTTTACATTTGTATGTATGTGTATGTGTGTGTACATACACCCATATATTTCCTAGCTCTGTCCACTGAAAGGACCAGTAGGGATGAGCATACCTTTCCACCCATTCCTTGGTTTCTGATACCATTTCCCACTGAAAGGAACCAGGGCTCTTTGGAGAAATGATTGATTCTAAGACAGGTACAAGATAAGCCTGAAACAACTTGTTAAACCAGAAAGTCAGAAGCTGAAAAGTCTTATGGGAATATGTGCCAACAACACAAGAGCCAGCTTAAAGGGGCATCCCACTAGCCAAATGTGGGACAAATTGATCTTCCAAATAATTAGCTGCAGTAATTCTAAACCATTAAAAAATAGGATTTCATGCATTTATTACAATAATATATAAACAAATAGGCAAGAGAAAGGGAGGTCTTTTGCTTACAGTAGAATACCAGGGAGCTACTGGTAAATGTCAGTGCAGTCCTGGATAAGAAATTATTATTTTATAACCATCATGGTAAAGAATCATCAATGGATAGCAAACTCAGAGAGAAATTTTAATGAGGAACAGGATATTTGCATTGTTCTTCAAGATGCTTATCATTGGAAGAGAGGGAAAAAAACAATCACGCCATTGAAATATTGGGGAAGACCTTAACCAGCTGATCAAAATTAATGACACCAATGAAGAACAGATGGACATTGTGTATATCCAGATATGATCCCATGAGAAGGACACAACATCACTTATCCAGTGTTCCAGATAAAATTCACAATCTCAAATTAATAATGGGAGAAAATAGACAAATACAAAATGAAGAATGCACTGTTAAAAAAAACTGGGGGCAGTCTGTAATCTTCAAAAATGTCAATGTTATGAAATATAAAGAAAGGCTATAGAAATGTTCCAGATTAAGAAGCTTAGAAAGATATAACAACAAAATGCAATACTTTCCCCTAGACTAGATATTGTTTTGGAGGGGCAAAATGCTTTAAAGGAAATTACTCAATTAACTAACAAAATTGGAATACTAATGGAAGCATAAATAAAAGTGTGGATGTAAATTTACAAAGTTGACCATTGTCAACTGTGGTTATGCAAGGGAATACCCCTATTAGTGGGAAGTACATACTAACTATGTAATAGTAAAAAGACTATGGTGCATGTAATGTGATGTAATGATTCAGGAAAAGAATAATGTATATAAGCAGAGAAGGAAAAGAGAGAGAAATCCAGTGGGATAAAACGTTAATAATAGGTGTATTAGGTTGAATAATGTCCTCTAAGAATTCATATCCTCCTCAGAATGTGACTTTATTGGGAAACACAGTTGTTGCAAATGTAATTAAGTTAAGATGAGGTCATACTGGAGTAGAGTAGGCTTTTTTTTCCTTTTCCTTTTTCTTTTTTTTTTAAATTTTTTTATACAGGTTCTTGTTCGTTGCCCAGGCTGGAGTGCAGTGGCACGATCACAGCTCAGCCTCCATCTCCCAGGTTCAAGCAATCCTCTCATCTCAGCCTCCTGAGTAGCTGGGACCACAGGTACACTCCACCATGCCCAGCTAATTTTTAAAAAAATATTTTTTGTAGAGACAGGATCTCCCAATGTTGCCCAGGCTGGTCCTGAACTCCTGGCTCAAGTGGTCCTCCCACCTTGGCCTCCAAAAAGTGCTAGGATTACAAGTGTGAGTGACCACACCCGGCTAGAGTGGACTCTTAATGCAATATGACTGATATCCTTATAAGGAAAGAAGAGGAGATACGGAGACAGACATACACAGAGGGAAGACAATGTGAAGAGACATACAAGAACATGTGATGATGGAGGTAGAGATCAGAGAGATGTGTCCACAAGCCAAGGAATCCCAAGAATTGCTGGCAACATCAGAAGCTAGGAGAGCACACAGCAGATTCTCCTTTGGAGTCTTCAGAAACAGCATGGCCCCATACACCTTGATTTTGGACATCTAGCCTAGACAATTGTGAGAGAATAAATTTATGTTGTTTTAAGCTCCCCAGTTTGTGGTAATTTGTTATAGCAACCCTAGGAAATTAATATAAAAGGCAAGTCTGAGTGAGTGAAGTTTATACAGGCTATACCTTGTACTATTTTTATTTTTTGCAACTTTTTGTAAGTTTGAAAGTATTTCCAAATAAAATGTTTTTAAAAGAGTGTAAAAACAAACAACACAAATGAAACACAGGGCTTCTAAGAATCTTACAAGCATTGTCCCAGTGTAGTCTCCCACCATCACACCCAGCTAATTTTTGCATTTTTAGTAGAGGCGGGGTTTCACCATGTTGGCCAGGCCAGTCTTGAACCCCTGACCTCATGATCCTGCCTCGGTGTCCCAAAGTGCTGAGATTACAGGTCTGAGCCACCACGCCTGGCCCTGAAAACCATTCTTAACTCATAAGCCATATAACAATAGCAGTGAGCTGGATTTGGCCCATGGCTGCAGTTTGGCAGCCTCTGGCCTGCAGTATTTTCCCTCCACCCTTTGAGAGAAGCTCCCCTAGAGGCAGCAGTCAATGTCCCAGGTACATTGTAGGGAGAGCAAGTGGAGGTGGCAGGGCCAGGGCGAGACAGCTGTGGTTGTGGTTTCCTCCCACGTGGCCCCTCCTTCTGAAGGTTCTGAGAGGCCTTTGAGTGCATTTGGGGTGATTTGACTCACACTGAGGAGGATGAGTTGAGAAAGGGAGAGGCCAGAGGCATAAAGATGGTTTATGTGGCTGCTAATATGGAGGTAGCCAGGTAAGAGACAAAGTCTAAACTAGGATGAGGCCACAAGGATGGGAACAGATTTGAGAGATACTCTTCATCGCTGCAAATGCATAAATTAGTTACAGTGCTCTCTTCTGGAGTCTTATTATCTTGTTTCACAAATGCCTGATGTCTTTTTTCATATCACCTGTAAAAGTAACCAGAATACTGGGCACTTAGGTGTCAGTAATGCTATGAAGATATCTGGTCTGCTAAGTGTTGGTGTTAAAAAAAATTACAGATGTGTATATATACATGATATATATGTACATATATGTATATATATGTGTATATATTATAGATGGATCTATATGCATATATAGATTATGTGTATATATATACACATATCTGCATATATACACACACTATCTATATCTATACACACACATAAAATTTGCCATTTTAATCATTTCAGATGTACAACTCGGTGACATTAATGACATTCACAATGCTATGCAACCATCACCACTATTTTTTTCTTAAACTTTTTCATCGCCCCAAACAAAAACTGTACCCATTGAGCAATAACTGATTTCTCCTGCCCCCAGCCCTGAATAACCTTAAATCTACTTCCCATCTCTATGAATTTGCCTACTCTAGATATTTCATATAAGCATAATCATACAATATTTGTCATTTTGCTTCTGGCTGATTTCACTTAGCATAGTGTTGTCAAGGCTCATTCATGCAGCAGCATGTATCAGAGCTGCAGTATTTTTATGGCAGAATAATATTCCATTGTATGCATATTCTACATTTTGTTTATGCGTTCATCTATTGATAGACACTAGGGTTGTTCTCACCTTTTGCTTATCGTGCATAATGCTATTCTGGACATTGACGTACAACTATCCGTTTTAGTCCCCACTTTTAATTATTTTGCGATATATACCTGTGAGTGGAATTGCTGGATCAGTGGTGGTAATTCTCTGTTTAATTTTCTTCAGGAACCACCAAATGGTTTTCCAGAGTTCTAGCATGATTTTACATTCCCACCAGCAATGCACAAGAGTTCTAGTTTCTCTCCATTCTCACAGATGCTTGTTATGTTATTTTTCTTAATGTTATAGACATCCTAGTAGGGGTGAGGTGGTACCTCACTGTGATTTGTATTTGTATTTTCCTGATGACTAATGTTGCTGAGCATATTTTCATGTGCTGATTGGCCATTTGTGTATCTTCTTTGGAGAAATGTCAACTCAGGTCCTATGCTCATTTTTCCATTGGTGTGTTTGTCTTCTTATTGTTGAGTTGTAGGAGTTCTTTGTATATTCCAAAAATTAACCCCTTATTAGATTTATAATTTGTAAATATTTTCTCTCATTCTGTGGATCGCCTTTTCATTCTGTTGAGAGTATCCTAAGTTTTAACTTTTAATGAGGTCCAATATATCTACTTTTCTTTTGTTGTCTATGTGAGTGTTGGTTTTGATCTTTAGTATGACTATTTGTTGATGTTGGATAAGCAGTGTGGGTTTGTGTTGCTGAACATTTAAATCTCTGAGTAACTCTGTTCCCATGGCTAGAGTAGAAAAACCTGTTTAATGGAGGTGGGTCCAGGGTACAGATATCCGCTCTGGGTGGCAGAGGAAGTCTTCAGAGAGAGCTCAGATGTCTCCTTGGTCTCATCAAGAAATGCTCTTTGGAACCATTATTTGTTTAATCAGAGTCTGAGATAGTCTCAGTTTATCTAGGTGGCTGACCAAATTATAAGTGAAAATTATATTAAGCTTGTTTTAAATCTCTTTTGATATTCCCTCTTACTCTCTGCTTTTTACCTTCTCAGAGATACATGTGCCCAAAGAGAATGAACAATGGCTGGTTTCTCTTTTACTCTTCATCAGTTAAATTTAATCTTCTAACCACCTTAACTTCAACTAAAACTACTGTTTTCTGTATCATCAAGAGGGCATCATGTGGATTGTATAACCAGCGATGTCTTGTCAGCCGAATTGTTCTTAGTATTCTAATGCCTATGACATGCATAACATCACCAGTTATACATACCATTATGGTTAGTTTTTCTTTCCAGAGATAAACTTTGTGTTTCTGTTATTTTTCATCTTTTACTCTTCAGGGATAATAAGTGTGGACCATAAAGCACAGAAATTTTGTGCCTGTATGTAGGGGTGTGTGTGTGTGTGTGTGTGTGTGTGTGTGTGTGTGCGCGCGCGCATTCAGGTGAAAGCATTTTAACTTTGTGGATACAGGTGGATTCTCCAAGTAATCCAGATACCAAAAGACATCTTTACCCTTTCTGGACTTAAAAAATAATTTCTTGCCATGTCTAGGAAGCAAAAGCATACACCTAGAGTACATCCAAACACCTATGAAAAGATCTGAGGGCCAATTCCAAATACTCTTCCTTTCAGAGTAGATTTGAAGCTGGTGGAATCTGCCAGTCTAGTGACTTAATCAATATAAAAGCTAAAAGGCAAACTTGATAATGATCCTCATGATTTCACTACATTCGTATTCCTACACAAGTGACATCAACTTGGAAGAAATGGTCTGAAAGAGCAGAGTTGGGAAAATATTTAAACAAGTCATCAGTCCTGCCACCTCAACACTGTGGCACCTTGACTGAACATTTGGAAGTACAAGAAACAAGTCGTAAACTTCTGTACCCTGGGCATGACAGCTGACACGAGAAGATGCAGGGCAGCCTCACCAAGCCACCACAGCTGCTTCTAAGGGTGTGTTTCCAGCCTCTCTGGGAGGAGGATACATGGAGCCTGAGGAGCCTGTGCAGACATTTATCAACAGGAAGGGAACAGAAAATGGGAAAAGATGGGTACAGGAGTAAAATGCTGCCAACCACAGGTTTGTTCAAGGTGGGGTCTGATGAAGAAGGAGAAAGAAGGAAGAATAGTGCTTCTCTTTCTAGAGTCACCCAGATACAAATGAATGTGGATGTAAATAAGTGGAGTAGGAGAATACACAAATTCTGCTCTACACATCGTACCTCTTCAGTTTTATGTGTGTTTAGGAATATCCTGGGGGTTTTGTTAAAATGCAGATTCTGACAAAGTTAATCTGGGATGGGTTGGAGATGCTGCATTACTAACAAACTCCCAGGTGATACAATGCTGCCGAACTCCACTTTCGGTATTAAGGCTATAAATGGAAGTTCAGGTAGCAAAAGAATGAAGAAGGAAATGAGGGTGAGTGGAGGGTCATAAACCCCAGTACTCTCCCTGCCTGTCATGCCCTGGGACCACTTCCATGGAGGGATCCTTTGGATTCTTCCACAACTAAATCTCTTTAAGTGGGGTCCATGACAGAATTCCCTCTTATAAGAATGTTAGTGGGGAGGTTCCAAGATGGCCGAATAGGAACAGCTCTAGTTTACAGCTCCCAGTGTGAGCGACGCAGAAGATGGGCGATTTCTGAATTTCCAGCTGAGCTTTGAAGAGAGTAGTGGTTCTCCCAGCCTGGAGTTTGAGATCTGAGAACAGACAGACTGCCTCCTCAAGTGGGTCCCTGACCCCCGAGTAGCCTAACTGGGAGGCATCTCCCAGTAGGGGAGGACTGACACCTCACACGGTCTAAAATTCTCTTTTTTTGTTGCGTCTCGGCCTGGCTTTGGTATCAGGATGATGCTGGCCTCATAAAATGAGTTAGGGAGTATTCCCTCTTTTTCTATTGATTGGAATAGTTTCAGAAGGAATGGTACCAGCTCCTCCTTGTACCTCTGGTAGAATTAGGCTGTGAATCCATCTGGTCCTGGACTTTTTTTGATTGGTAAGCTATTAATTATTGCCTCAATTTCAGAGCCTGTTATTGGTCTATTCAGAGATTCAACTTCTTCCTGGTTTAGTCTTGGAAGTCTTATGTGTCGAGGAATTTATCCATTTCTTCTAGATTTTCTAGTTTATTTGCGTAGAGGTGTTTATAGTATTCTTTGATGGTAGTTTGTATTTTTCTGGGATTGGTGGTGATATCCCCTTTGTCATTTTTTATTGCGTCTATTTGATTCTTCTCTCTTTTCTTCTTTATTAATCTTGCTAGCGGTCTATCAATTTTGTTGATCTTTTCAAAAAACCAGCTCCTGGATTCATTCATTGATTTTTTGAAGGGTTTTTTGTGTCTCTATTTCCTTCAGTTCTGCCCTGATTTTAGTTATTTCTTGCCTTCTGCTAGCTTTTGAATGTGTTTGCTCTTGCTTCTCTAGATCTTTTAATTGTGATGTTAGGGTGTCAATTTTAGATCTTTCCTGCTTTCTCTTGTGGGCATTTAGTGCTTTAAATTTCCCTCTACACACTGCTTTGAATGTGTCCCAGAGATTCTGGTATGTTGTGTCTTTGTTCTCGTTGGTTTCAAAGAACATCTTTATTTCTTCCTTCATTTCATTATGTACCCAGTAGTCATTCAGGAGCAGGTTATTCAGTTTCCATGTAGTTGAGCGGTTTTGAGTGAGTTTCTTAATCCTGAGTTCTAGTTTGATTGCACTGTGGTCTGAGAGACAGTTTATTAAAATTTCTGTTCTTTTACATTTGCTGAGGAATGCTTTACTTCCAACTATGTGGTCAGTTTTGGAATAGGTGTGGTGTGGTGCTGAGAAGAATGTATATTCTGTTGATTTGGGGTGGAGAGTTCTGTAGGTGTCTATTAGGTCTGCTTGGTGCAGAGTTGAGTTCAATTCCTGGATATCCTTGCTAATTTTCTGTCTCATTGATCTGTCTAACGTTGACAGTGGGGTGTTAAAGTCTCCCATTATTATTGTGTGGGAGTCTAAGTCTCTTTGTAGGTCATTCAGGACTTGCTTTATGAATCTGGGTGCTCCTGTATTGGGTGCATATATATTTAGGATAGTTAGCACTTCTTGTTGAATTGATCCCTTTACCATTATGTAATGGCCTTCTTTGTCTCTTTTGATCTTTGTTGGTTTAAGGTCTGTTTTATCAGAGACTAGGATTGCAACCCCTGCCTTTTTTTGTTTTCCATTTGCTTGGTAGATCTTCCGCCATCCCTTTATTTTGAGCCTATGTGTGTCTCTGCATGTGAGATGGGGCTCCTGAATACAGCACACAGATGGGTCTTGACTCTATCCAATTTGCCAGTCTGTGCCTTTTAATTGGAGCATTTAGCCCATTTACATTTAAGGTTAATATTGTTATGTTTGAATTTGATCCTGTCATTATGATATTAGCTGGTTATTTGGCTCGTTAGTTGATGCAGTTTCTTCCTAGCCTTGATGGTCTTTACAATTTGGCATGTTTTTGCAGTGGCTAGTACTGGTTGTTCCTTTCCATGTTTAGTGCTTCCTTCAGGAGCTCTTTTAGGGCAGGCCTGGTGGTGACAAAATCTCTCAGCATTTGCTTGTCTGTATTTTATTTCTCCTTCACTTATGAAGCTTAGTTTGGCTGTATATGAAATTCTGGGTTGAAAATTCTTTTCTTTAAGAATGTTGAATATTGGCCCCCACTCTCTTCTGGCCTGTAGAGTTTCTGCCGAGAGATCAGCTGTTAGTCCAATGGGCTTCCCTTTGTGGGTAACCCGACCTTTCTCTCTGGCTGCCCTTAACATTTGTTCCTTCATTTCAACTTTGGTGAATCTGACAATTATGTGTCTTGGTGTTGCTCTTCTCGAGGAGTATCTTTGTGGTGTTCTCTGTATTTCCTGAATTTGAATGTTGGCCTGCCTTGCTAAATTGCGGAAGTTCTCCTGGATAGTATCCTGCAGAGTGTTTTCCAACTTGATTCCATTCTCCCCATCACTTTCAGGTACACCAATCAGATGTAGATTTTGTCTTTTCACATAGTCCCATATTTCTTGGAGGCTTTGTTCATTTCTTTTTATTCTTTTTTCTCTAAACTTCTCTTCTCACTTCATTTCACTCATTTCGTCTTCCATCACTGATACCATTTCTTCCAGTTGATCACATCAGCTACTGAGGCTTATGCATTCATCACGTAGTTCTCATGTCATGGTTTTCAGCTCCATCAGGTCCTTTAAGGACTTCTCTGCATTGATTATTCTAGTTATCCATTCATCTAATTTTTTTTCAAGGTTTTTAACTTCTTTGCCATTGGTTCAAACTTCCTCCTTTAGCTCAGAGTAGTTTGATCTTCTGAAGCCTTCTTCTCTCAGCTTGTCAAAGTCATTCTCCATCCAGCTTTGTTCCATTGCTGGTGAGGAGCTGCATTCCTTTGGAGGAGGAGAGGTGCTCTGATTTTTAGAGTTTCCAGTTTTTCTGCTCTGTTTTTTCCCCATCTTTGTGGTTTTATCTACCTTTGGTCTTTGACGAAGGTGACGTACAGATGGGTTTTTGGTGTAGATGTCTTTTCTGTTTGTTAGTTTTCCTTCTAACAGTCAGGACCCTCAGCTGCAGGTCTGTTGGAGTTTGCTGGAGGTCCACTCCAGAACCTGTTTGCCTGGGTATCAGCAGCAGTAGCTGCAGAGCAGTGGATATTGGTGAACCGCAAATGTTGCTGCCTGATCGTTCCTCTGGAAGTTTTGTCTCAGAGGAGTACCCGGCCGTGTGAGGTGTGAGTCCACCCCTACTCGGGGGTGCCTCTCAGTTAGGCTACTTGGGGGTCAGGGACCCTCTTGAGGAGGCCGTCTGTCCGTTCTCAGATCTCAAGCTGCATACTGGGAGAACCACTACTCTCTTCAAAGCTGTCAGACAGGGACATTTAAGTCTGCAGAGGTTACTGCTGTCTTTTGTTTGTCTGTGCCTTGCCCCCAGAGGTGGAGCCTACAGAGGCAGGCAGGCCTCCTTGAGCTGTGGTGGGCTCCACCCAGTTTGAGCTTCCTGGCCGCTTTGTTTACCTCCTCAAGCCTTGGCAATGGAGGGCGCCCCTCCCCCAGCCTTGCTGCCACCTTGCAGTTTGATCTCAGACTGCTGTGCTAGCAATGAACAAGGCTCCATGGGTGTAGGACCCTCCGAGCCAGGTGCGGGATATAATCTCCTGGTATGCCGTTTGTTGAGCCTGTTGGAAAAGCGCAGTATTAGGGTGGGAGTGATCCAATTTTCCAGGTGCCATCTGTCACCCCTTTCTTTGACTAAGAAAGGGAATTCCCTGACCCCTTGCACTTCCCAGGTGAGGCAATGCCTTGCCCTGCTTCGGCTCATGCACAGTGAGCTGCACCCACTGTCCTGCACCCACTGTCCAGCACTCCTCAGTGAGATGAACCCGGTACCTCAGTTGGAAATGCAGAAATCACCCGTCTTCTGCATCACTCACGCTGGGAGCTGTAGACTGGAGCTGTTCCTATTTGGCCATCTTGGCTCCACCACTTGTTTCATATTTTCTTATTGATTTATAAGAGCTCTTTATATATGTATATTAATAGAATTATAATATATGCTATATACTATAATATATAAACTAGAGACATATGGCCTTCAAAGATGCAGATACTACTTCTTCTCTTTGGGCAGTGGTTCTGCAGAGTATTAGTGTCCTGTTGGTTACAGTGTCCCCCAAATACTATCGCTGCATAACAAAGCACTCCAAACTAAGTGGTGGGTTGAGAAAAAATGGAGTTTAAATGGGTACTATCACCAGGTGGATATTCAAATATCTCATGAATATTTAGAGCCTCATGAAAATTCGATGCATTACATGCCCCATGAATAGTGAGTTCCTCCTTGGTCCTTCCATCTATTCCAGTCCATGTTTTGCACACATATACTCTACTTCTTTCTTGTCTAATATGTCCCCCATGATACCTACATCTATGCTTAGTTTCATCTGTCCTTATTTATTTGTTTCTCTAATATTTTATTGTAGAATTGAATAATCTTTTTAAAAAAATCTCAAACATTAATTACTTTTTCCAAGGCAGTTTGCAAAACTTTTGAGATGCAACCTAGGAGGCACACTAGGTGCAACCAAAAGGCTGTTTTCTTACTGAGGTTTCTTTCCCAATCTTGACTACATCATGGTTTTGGGCCTCAGAGAGCATGGCAGGAAAAGCCAGCAACATACTTTCCTGTCAAGACTGGGTAAAGTCCACATGTTGGACTGTCAGGAGAGTTTGCACACTCTGGCAGCAAGATGGGGTCATTCTGGTGTGAGCCTCACTGGAAAGCATAATTGCTCAGATATTGTAGCACAGCTGTGAAGGATGCCAGATTCTTACTGAACACACCTGTACTCTGGAGGATGACGGAGAGGTGGATGGTGCACCTCTTAGTTATGTGCTAATTCTGTACAAAGCTGTAACTGCAATTGAGATCAAAATTGGAAACAAATCCTATCTTCCAACATTTGCAACATTCCCATATAATTAATGGACAAAAGTGAAAACTTTAAGTTGCCCTCATAAAATGAAAATAGTTGCTGGAGTAAACTTTATTCCCTCCGTTTAACGAGAATCATTAGGCTTTTATTTTACATGGAAAATGGGATCAAAGGCATTAAAGACCAATTATTTAAAATCAAAACAATGTTTTATTGGGTTTTCATGAATTAAAATAGGTCAAGAACTTTTCAAAGTTCAGAAACGAAGTAAATAAATTTAAGAAGAGAATGTAGCATGGAAGGGAAAAAAGTTAAAATACCAGAAGTTCTATACCTAAATAATAATCTTTATCCTCCTCCAACTCTTACGTTTGATAGAAAAATAGAGATGAATCATTTTCATTAGCTAAGCATATTCTAACGTTCTATTAGCTAAATGAAAATCTTACTATAGTCCCTGGTGGAATTATTTAAGCTAGTATTCTTTATGTGGCTCTGCATATAAGTATCTAACTTCAGAGATTTAATCAAGGTCCAAATCAAACAAAATTTGTTAATTTCATCTTTCAGTAAGACATTGTTCAACTAACATGCAGGTGTACTCTTTGGAAAGAAGCCAACCAGAAAATACTTGAAACTGAGTACAGATAAATTATCAGAATTTACAAAAGACCATAGGTTATAGTTTTAATTACTTAAAGAGCAATGTATTCGAATATCCAGGAGGGGTTTTAATCTTAGGCAAAATGTTTGAGTAGGTTCCAGTTTACTTTCTCCTTATTCTATAATTTAAATCATTTTGGGTTTTATTTCCTCCCCAAAGTACCATACTGCTTTTTGAGCCATGCCAATAAATACAAAATTCTTATTAGTTGAAATACGGGCAAAAAAGAAATATTCACTCAATGTCTAGGTATCCTTGATTCATATGTCTAAAGTACTGAGGATAAATGATACCCATGCCTCTTTGTTCTGCAAATAGAGTAGAAAATCTCCAAAGATTAGATTTTCTTGCAGAGTTTCCAATAATAATACTTGATTACACAAGGAATTGATGTAGTAATAGTTTCAGATACTAATAATGCTTAGTACTTAAGCATTTGTCATCTTCAAAGTGCTTTAACTGTTTAATCTTCATAAAACCTCTGTGGAGTTGAGAAAGTCAGCAAGCAGCACATTATTCTCACTGCATAATCTTGAACTCTAACCACAGACGTGTGTTTGTCTCCTTCTTGGAACCAGCTGGGTTGGATGAATTGTGAAACATTCTTCCTTCACCACGTTGTCTCACATAAATCATGAAGCTGGCAGAGAGATATTCTGTTTTTTAAATTGTTATCAGTATATTATATAATAAACATTAGCTCAATTATCTTAACTTTACAAAAATATCTGGTGAATTCCTTCTGTAACACAAATGAAACACAACTCTGAATGTTCTGCCTTCTAATTCTGGAACACTATATTTGGGATGTCCTTATTAGTTATTACAGAAAGTCCCTTTGCTTGAAAGATAGTCTAAAAATAAAAGGAACTTTGAAGACTTAAAATCATTTCAAGAGAGTAGAAGGATGGTTGTGAGAGGCTGGGAAAGGTAATGGCAGGGTGAGGAGGAGGTGGGGATGGTTAATGGGTACAAAAAAAAATAGTTGAAATGAATGAATAAGGCCTGGTATTTGATAGCACAACAGGGTGGCTTTGGTTGATAATAATTTTATTTTACGTTTTAAAATAACTGGGGGAGTATAACTGGATTGTTTGTGGCCCAGAGGATAAATGCTTGAGGAGATGGTATCCCATCTTCCATGATGTGATTACTATACATTGCATGACTTTATCAAAACATCTCATGTACCCCATAAATATATATACATGCTATGTACCCACAAAAATTAAAAAAAAAAACTAAACAAGAAATGAAAAAAAAAAAAGAAAAGAAAAGCATGTCACCCTCATACAGATTCAAGAGTTTGGAATTATATGAAAAGTACTTTTTTTTTTAGATTTAAGAGAGTAATTGAAAGTTATTAGTTGATTTTAAAAATCAATTTGTGAAAAGAATAATACAATGCAATCACTGCTCCTAAAGCCTGCTACTCTTGACTCTGATCTTAAAGCTCTAGTTGAGGTTTGGTTTAGATAGTTACAAGGAATAGTTACTATATCAGTCAGGATAGGATAAGTTTTGCTGTGATAACAAATTAATTATGATATCCAGGGGCTTAGCACAGCAAAGGTGTAGCCCTTATGCTACTGCCACATGATCCTTAGGTTGTCACTTTTCCAGCCAGAAACCTCTGTAACTGGTGCAGCCTTTGCCTGAGTTTTGCTCAGGCCCACTGGGTTCGTTCTGCCCACTTGGCCTGGCAGGCTGAGCTTGGCTAGCACTACCAGCCTGGATCCCATGCCTGCCATGGGCGAGCCAGGCACAGAGCGGCAAGAGGTGTGTGAGCAAGTGAGCATGGGGTTTGGCCACTGTGCACAGCCAAGCATGCCAGCTGTGTCAGGGTGGGCAGCTCCAGACACTGGTACAAGCGCCAGCTGCATGCAAAGCTGTGGCTGAACCAGGCCTACCACAAGTAGCTTCCACTGTGGGCACTGGGGAACATGGTGGCGCCCAGAAGCTTGGAGACACCAGGAATTGCAGAGCCCCAAAGAGGGTGTCACAGCCCTGGCTTTGGGAGCCCCTAAGTCTGGGGTTCCCAAAGGGCTGCAGCTCTTCTCTCCTCCTCATCATCCACAATGTGGTGAGCAGGGGGCATGTTTCAGCTCTGTTTGTGTTACAGCTCTTTCAGTCCCACCATTCAACAGTCCCCAAGTTCTTGTCCCACATCCAGGAAGAATGAAGTACGTAGACAACTGGAGGGTGAGCAAGGTGGAGAGCTTCATTGAGCAACAGACCAGCTCTCAGGAGACCCAAAGAGGATTGCTCCTTTCCGCAGCTGGTAGTCCTGATGTCTGTGAGTCTGGCTGAGTTCTGGATTTTAATAGGCGCAGAAGGGAGAAAGTGTGTGCTGATTGGTCCATGGGTGGCCATGGGTGGGCGTGGAAAAAGCACCATCTTATTGGCTGAACAGTCAGCCATGAAGTCCTTTCTTCATGCTCCAGACTTCGCCTGGAACTGGCAGCCCAACCCCCAGGCTTCAGGCCCTTCCTGGCTTGAAGGTGGGGTTTCAGTGGGGACCCAATCCTTTCCACCCGGGAACCTGTCTGCCTCCTGCCATCAATACGCCCTCCATGGTGCCCAGGCTGTTCCTGCGGAGGGGTGCCTACAGGCCCATGTGGAGCTGCCCTCAGCTCCTCCAACTCCCGCCTTTCTCCTGTGCTTGTCAGCGCCCAAAGTCTGGAGGGGGCTGAGGTGGCAGGGGTCTGGCATGTCAATGCAGCCCCGAGCATGTGCACACCTGGCCAGGTCTGGACAGCATCTGGGCACTGGAGTGGGCACTGGGAGCAGGGAGAGGTTTGGAGTGGGAGCAGGCACTGCTCCCTCTGAGCGTGCAGGGGCAGAGGGCACTTCCTGGGCCCCCAGAGCTCAGGGATGCCCAGAGCCCTGGCTGGGCGGCTGCAGCTGCGCCCAGGAGCTCAGGGCTCCTGCCCTGCCAACTCGATAGGGGGCGGGGCTCCTGCCTGTTCCCGTCCCACCGGTTTGCAAAGCATACAGCCCCAGCTCCACCTCCCTGGCTGTGGCCAGCGTCTTGGATGCAACGATTGCAATGCCTGGCCGTAATTATTTCTTTAATCTTGAAGAAAATGCAAATTAAAGGCTAGATATTCTCCAAAGACATACCTCATTGTTCTTAGCATCTTCATGTAATTTCTCTTCATTTTTAATATCTTGCTTGTATTTTTTATTCTTTTGCCACTTCTTCCTTCTGTTCTTATGTTTCTATGCCGTTCACATAGAAGTCTATTCTTCTTATTCCTAAGTCCGTTTTTCTCTTAAGAAATCAATTTCTATTCCTTTTTGGGATATCACAATGACATTCATCTATTTCCAGGATGGGACTAGGGTCTCTTCTCCAGCTTCCCCAGCCTTGTCCACTTCTCCTCTCACAACATCAGTAAGAGCTCCCAGGAGACCAAGAGCTTCTCTTAAAACACGGTGTCCTCTGGCCCTTGGGTTCTGCCTGGATCCTTCCTCTAGGAAAGATGAGCACAAACTGGGTTAGAAGGGCAAAGATCTGTGCACCAACAGGCTTGATTTCCTCTCTTCATTTCTGCAGACTTGGTGATTTCAATCCATCTTCTAAGTACAGACAATGGGAACACCCATCTCCTAAGATAACCAGGGAATGCAGCTGTCCCAGGAGCCATCCTGGAGGAGCATGTGAAAGAGAATTGCAGAATGAAGTAAAGCTGGAAGAACATATACTTTCAAACCAGGGCTCTCTGGGTTGGAATCCAGATTCTAAGAGACACTCATCACAGCCTCTGGAAATTTAGAGTTGAAAGTGGTCTTTAAATGCCTTCTGGAGATCCTTATGAAGTCCAGGGAATTTTGCCTATGGGCAGTGTCAAGGCCTTTATCCTGTCTGAGCTCCCAGTCCACCACTCCACTACCACATACCCCCAGCTCTCTGCCTGCTGTTATCTGAATGTTTATGTCCTCTCAGTATTCCTATGTTGAAACCTAGCTTCCAAGGCGATTGCTTTAGGAGGTGGGGACTTTGGGAGGTGATTAGGTCATATGCACAAAGCTCTCATGAATGGGATTGGTGCCCTTAGGAAAGAGACCTCAGAGAGCTTAGCTCACCCCCGCCATTTTCTGAGAACACAGCAAGAAGGCACCATCTATGAACCAAAAAATGAGTCCTCAACAGACGCTGAATCTGCCAGCACCTTGATCTTGGACTTCAGCTTCCAGAACTGTAAGAAATAAATTTTTGTTGTTTATAAGCTGCCCAGTTTACGGTATTTTATTATAGCATCTCGATGGGATGAAGACACTGCCTATCAGAGAACCGAAACTCATTCACAGTGTGAACACCATTTCTAATGGTCACTCAGAGTAAAATCCTTCAGAGGCCTTGTGTTTTAAGCAGGTGTAGGTGAGAATTTGATAAATGTATTTTCTTGAAGAAATGAATGTTTCCAACAGGGAATTATTCCGCAAAGAGACTTTCAACACAGCAGGCCTTGCTGGGGGAGTGAGGTGGGTTTGGAGTAGAGTGTCTTTGTTGTCTTGTACTTTCAGCTTCAGAACTCCAGCCACAAAGTGCATCAGTTCTGCCAGAAGCCCCAGGTATACCGCCATAATTCCAAAGAGAAATGCGGGGAGCAGGGTGGGGGCATTTAGTGTTCATTTTCCCAGGGGCTTATTCTTGCTGGTCAAACCCCGACCATGATGATGGGTTTTGCTCTTTGATTTCTTCCCCCTTTGCACCTCTCTTAGGCTAGTACAAATGCCTGTAGCCTGCAAATGATGGTGAGGTTCACCTTAAGCCAGGCCTGGCCCACTTCCCAAAACTAGCCCCTATTCCCTCTGTTGGTGCAGGGCCCTTATCCTTCCCTTTTCTCTTGTCCCTTGGGTTTTCTTGTCCCTCAGAGTCTTGCCTGAGGTCTGGGATTTGAGCAATATTAACACTGAGCAGCAGAGGTTAGGATCCCATGGCTGCAGGCCTGAGAAGCTATGAGAGGCTTCTCCAACCACCTGCCTGCCAGCCTTTCCAATCCTCTGCCGTCTGCATCCCAGAAGCATCTTCTCCACTGTGGGTGGCAAACCACACAGGGTGCCTGAAGGTAGTCAAGTGGGCCTGAGGAAGCCCTCAGACCTCAGCTGGTTTTAATCTTATAAAGCTGAAACTTAATATACGAGGCAGGCTAGATAAAAATGCTTTTATGCTGCATTTATCTATGTTCTGTGTTGGATTCCAAATCCCATGGGGTTAAATTCAACGACAATGATAATGGTGATGATAACAGTAATAATAGCAATCACAACAACCATGTGATAATAAAAGAGGAAAAGCAGAAATCAAAGGGAGAATCCTGACACTGGTCTTGCCCAGCCTGGTGTGTGTGTGTATTGTCTTTGTTGATTAAGCAGGAAGCCCAAGTTATGGGGCCCAGTGACTGAAAGCCTACTGGTCTCAGCAGCTCTGCTGGATGTGCTGCCAAGGCTGCTCCTGGGATTGTCCTCACACCTGTGTCTGGTTGCCCAGAGCTTAGCCTGGGAGTCCAGTCTGAATTTTGTGGACGACTCTAGCTAAGTCAACCTGGAGGCTCCTGGAGACACCGGCCTAATGGGTGGAGGAACATTTGTCTAAGTTTTCTCCGGAGGAGACTCTGGCAGCTGGAGTCAAGACAACTAATTCACAGCTGAGAGTGAGTGACCAAGAAAAGACAGAAAGATGGCTCACCAGAAAAAGCATTTCCTCATTGCCCTTTGCTACTTGATAAAATCAGTACAAAAAAATCAGGGCCTTTTTTATACTGATGGGTGATCCCCTTATCCAGCCCCACAGTGGTGGTTTCAGCCTTGTCCGCCCCACCAGCCCCCTTACCGCCACAGCCCACTAAGCTCAGAAGCCCAGCCTTCTTTCTCCCCTCTCCTCCACGCCTCAGTGCCTGCGTCTCTCCTGCTCCACATCCTCCCTGCTTCCACTCTGATTTTGGAAGATAATGCAAATACAGTTCCTTTCCAAGATCAGTCACTCTACTTTGCCCTTGACTTCATTTTCCCCATTTCCCTCTTTTGCACCACCAAGTCCTCTGTCATGTATGTTTAGCAACTCCCCCCACTTGGCCTATTAACTTGCTCAAGTTGCTCCCTCCCTAAAGCAAAATAGAAATGTATGACCAAATTGCTTCTATCTTCTTTCTTTCTAGCTCTCTTCTTTCCTTATGTCCCAGAGTCTCTCTCTGTCTCTCTTTTGACCACTTTCTAGTCTTTTTGTGTGTGTGTGTGTGGTTAAATGTATATAGCGTGAAATTTACCATTTTAACCATTTTTAGGTGTACATTTCAGCAGCATTAAGAAAATTCCATTGTTGTGCAGCCATCACCCTTGCCATTCACTCTCTGTGTTATTCACTGCAACCTGGCTGCCACCTCCACCACTTCACTAGAACTGCTCTTGCAGAGCTCATCAGCAGCCTCCCAATTTCTCAAGGATTCAGGTCTTGCTTAACTGACCTCTTTGTGGCATCTGACACTTGGTGCCACTGCTCCCTTGTGGAGAGACTGCCTTGTCACCCTTCACTCCTTTCATTCCCCCGCAACCACCTGGCTACATCCACTCTCCACTGTGGGATCCTTTTCCTTTGTCTTAGATATCACAGCTCCTTGGGAATCCATCTGCAGCTCCCTGTTCTTCAGTCCACCTGCCAATTATCCCCTGGTGATTTGGCCAGGCCTCTGTAGGAAAGGGTATAACAAGACACCCATGTCCTGAGAGTGAATGTCCGAGCTAGAGGCCTATTGCAGTTGAGAGGAGCTCCAGAAAACATTATGCAACCAACTTCCCCTCTAAGGAGCTTCTCAAGTATTTGTATCCAACAGCTACAGGTAACTGAAGTGTCTGTTGGTAGAGGACCTGAGCAAGTTGGAAGATTTGGTGACTGACGGCACAGATTAGAGATAAATTAATTTTGAAGTTCTTATGAAGCAAAGAAGGGATCCTCAACTAACTACGGGCAAAATAGATGGCCTCTCCCGTACGTGGGAAAATATATTGTTCTTCCATCTTTGCACCATCCTCAAAATCTTCACTCCTATAAGCTGGAAGAGCCTTGGTCTTCCAGCTGCCAGCCTTGTAATCTACTATGTTAGAAAACAAGGTGTGGGGTGCAGAGGAGACACCGTGTTCAGGAAAATTCAGTGTGAGAGTGAAGGCTTTCACCACCTGATATGATTTGGCTGTGTCCCCTCCCAAATTTCATCTTGAATTGTAATCCCCATGATATGGGTTGGCTGTGTCCCCATCCAAGTCTCATCTTGAATTCCCACATGTTGTGGGAGGGACCCAGTGGGAGGTTGAGTCATGGGGGCAGGTCTTTCCTATGCTGTTCTTGTGACAATGAATAAGTCTCATGAGATCTTACGGCTTTATAAGGCAGAGTTACCCTGCATAAACTCTCTCTCTGCCTGCTGCCATCCATGTAAGACGTGACTTGCTCCTTCTTGCCTTCAACGTGATTGTGAGGCCTCCCCAGCCACTTGGAACTGTAAGCCCATTAAACCTCTTTCTTTTGTAAATTGCCCAGTCTCGGGTATGTCTTTACCTCAGCATGTGAAAACAGACTAATATACCCCATAATCCCCACGTGTCATGGGAAGGACCTGGTGGGAGATAATTAAATGATGGGGGCAGTTTTCCCAAGCTGGTCTCGTGATAATGAGTTCTCATGAGATCTAATGGTTTTATAGGCATCTGGCATTTCCTTTGCTTGTGCTCATTCTCCCTCCTGTTGCCCTGTGAAGAGGTGCCTTCTGCCATGATTGTAATTTTCCTGAGGCCTCCCTAGCCTTGCAGAACTATGAGTCCATTAAACCTCTTTTCTTTATAACTTACCCATTCTCAGTATTTCTTCACAGCAGCATGAGAATGGACTAATATACCACCCTAGAGGGGAAAGAAAAGAGGCCTAAGGACAGGCATGGGCAAGTATAGGTGCTGGTGAAAGGCCCCTAGGGACCCACTTGCTTCTTTTCTAAATTGAACAATAAGTGAGATTAACACAGCCATATGGTAACTGAGAATACACAGGCTGTGTATCACACTGGGTGCTCAGCGATCTTTCTTGAATGAGATGGGGCTGGGGAATGAGATGGACTCCCCTGGGGTCGACTGACTCAGGGTCTGGTACTTACAGAACAAGCAACAGCCACCCAATGCCAGAGCATTGTAGCTACAAGCAGCCAACCCTGGTGGTAACTGTCAGCCTCTTAGGGAAACTTGAGGGTTTAATATAGTGAATTATAAACTGGTGTATGGTCAGGTTCCACAAAGAATAGGAAAATCAAAACACTGAAAATGGTTAATGATCCTCACAAGAGAACACCCTTTAAATTTTCTCTCTCAACAATTCCTACCCATTTTTGAAGACACGACTTAAATGCTTTGACCTCTGTGGGGTCCTCCCATCCCTGGCAGACTGAATTTCACAGCCCCTCCTCTGCGCTCCCTGTGTCTGCCCTTTGGTCAAATAATATTTCTGTTTCATCAACTGGACTGCATGCTCCCTGAGGGCAGCACACCTATTTCTGATGTTTATCATCATGCCTGGCATACAGAAAGCCCTTAGGAAATTTTGGATAAATTAATCCACGAGTGATGGATGAATGAATGAATATATGTATGAGTAAATTAAATTTGAAGTAACTGGTTCTCAGAGCCAGATTGGGAAGTCACTTTCTAATAATGGAAACACATTGCTGTGTGTGCGTGTATGTGTGTGTGTGTGTGTGTGTGTGTGTGTGTGTGTGTGTGTGTGTGAAGCCTTAGAGGCTTAGGAGCATCAGACGGGTGCCAACCAAGAGACATATAGGGGATTGTGTAGTTGAGGCCTTCCAGAATGAGCACATGTTATTTCATCAGATGTTCTCTGTGAAATACTAAGATAAAATATTGGGCAATCCACGGTGAGAGTCTTTCCAATGTATGGCTCAGAAACACCTAACAATTGAGCTGGACGGGATGACTTGTGCTTATTTCTTCCCCAAATAGACTGATGGCCTTAAGGAGAGCATCTCTGGTAAAAGATCCTTATAACCGGCTGAACACTACAAAACATTGAGAAGTGAAGTATAAGTCTTTGTCAATGACTGTTGCCAATATAAGTTCATTTGTCCTGGTGAAGACCATTACCCTGTCTGAGGCTGGGCCCAGGATTGCCCCTGTAATATACCTTTGCATAGTACCAGAGGGTCAGAGTGTTGGCTTATGGATTGAACAAACGCTAGGCCTTTCCATTATTAAACCAGTTGTTTTTACACTTAAAAAAATAAAACCCTTTCTCATAACCCTTTCAGTGACAGGGAAGCTGGACCCTTTTCTATATAAAAGAAGGAGGCCCCAGCAGAGAAGAGAAGGCATTCATGTTCTGCGTGTGTTGCGGAAGAATGAGAAACAGATTGGTGGAGAAAAAGGCAAAGTCTCCACTGAAGTGAATTCCTATCATCCTGACTCTGAGGGTTGAAGGTTTGTCCCAGAGCAGTAGAAAGAAATAGATTCTGGATCCCTCAAGCCTGGTGGGCTGCTTAGCACCCTGAGTTGGCAGATCTAGGGCTGGGACATCATCAACACTTTTGTATTATTTTATTAGGTTGCTGACAAACACATGGAAACAATTCACAGTTGGGCACTGATTACATTTTCCTTCAAAGGCATGCCAGGCCCTGTGTCTCCTATGAAAAATTATCTTAATTCTTCATTGACGTTTAACCCACCCTCATAGTTTCCAAAATTTCTTAGTCACGCTTTTCAGGTGTTTTTTTTTTTCTCCAACTTTTATTTCAAATTTATGGCAGTACATGTGCAGATTTGTTACATGGGCATATTGTGTGACATTGAGGTTTGGAGTATGGATCCTGTCACCCAGGTAATAAGCATAGCACCCAATAAGTAGTTTTTTAACTCAGCCCCTCTCCGCTATCCTCAAGTAGTCCACGATGTGTATTGTTCTCCTATTTATGTACATGTGTGCTCAATGCTTAGCTCCCACTTATAAGTGAGAACATGTAATTTTGGTTTTCTGTTCTTGCATTAGTTTGCTTAGGATTATGGCCTCCAGCTTCAACCATGTTGCTGCAAAGGACATTTCATTCTTTTTTTATGGCTGTGTAGTATTCCATGGTGTATATGTATCACATTTTCTTTATCTACCCTGCCATTGATGGGCACCTGGGTTGACTCACATGGAACAACAAAAAAAGCTCAAATAGCCAAAGTAATTCTAAGCAAGAAAAACAAAGCCAGAGACATCACGTTAGTCAACTTCAAACTATAGTGTGTAGCCACATAACCAAAACAGCATGATACTCTTACAAAAACAGATACACAGACCAATGGAACAGATAGAAAACTCAGAAATAAAGCTGCACACCTACAACTATTTCATCTTTGACAAGATGGACAAAAGCAATGGAAAAAGGACTCCCTATTCAGTAAATGGTGCTGAGATAATTGGCTAGCCATATGCAGAAAATTGAAGCTGGATCCCTATCTTTCACAATATACAAAAATTAGCTCAAAATGCTTTAACGATTTAAATGTAAGAACACAAACTAAAAATCCTAGAAGAAAAACTAGGAAGTACTCTTCTTTACATCAGCCTTGGCAAATAATTTATTGCTAAGTCCTCAAAAGCAACCGCCACAAAAACAAAAATTGACAAGTTGGACCTAATTAAAGAGCTTCTGCACAGCAAAAGAAACCATCAACAGAGTAAACAGACAACATACAGGATGGGAGAAAATATTTGAAAACTTGTCCTAGGACAAGTTAAAACCAGTTGTTTCTGTTTTAAAAACTGTTGGAACATGTAGTCCAAGCTATCAACATCTTGCAACAGAGCTATGGCAATAACCTTAAGTGGTCTTCCTGTTTTTACTCTCTGTCTCTCTCTCCTGGTGTCTATTTGCCACACATAGCCAGAGTGATTCTGTTAAAACCTAAGATAGGTCTTGTTAACTCTGCACAAAATCCTCTAATGTATTCATTCAACCAACATTTGTTGACTATTTTGTGCTAGGCATTATTCCAAGTGCTGTTTTAATGGGGGAAGGCAGACAATAAAGAAAAGAAGTACTAAACTATATAGGATATATAAATACATACAGTATATTATATATGGCAAGGGGAGGACACATTTAAAAGTGAAATTAGAGCAGGTAGAAAGGAAGCCAGATAGGTATCTAAGGATGATGATTCTAGAAGAGGAAACAGCAAGTGAAAAGGCCATAAAGTAGAGTATGACTTTTTTTTTGAGATAGAATTCACATGTCATAAAGTCTACAAATTAGTGGTTTCTAGAATATTCACGAAGTCACCACTACCTAATTTCAGGACGTTTTCTTCATTCCAAAAAAACCCTGTATCCACATCATTCATACTAGTCAAAAAGCAGAAACAATCCACGTGTCCATCAACTAATGAATAGATAAATAAAACGTGGTATGTCCATACAGTGGAATATTATTTGGCAATAAGAAGAAAGGAAGTGGCCGGGCGCGGTGGCTCACGCCTGTAATCCCAGCACTTTGGGAGGCCGAGGCGGGCGGATCACGAGGTCAGGAGATCGAGACCACGGTGAAACCCCGTCTCTACTAAAAATACAAAAAATTAGCCGGGCGCAGTGGCGGGTGCCTGTAGTCCCAGCTACTCGGGAGGCTGAGGCAGGAGAATGGTGTGAACCCGGAAGGCGGAGCTTGCAGTGAGCGGAGATCGCGCCACTGCACTCCCGCCTGGGCGACAGAACGAGACTCCGTCTCAAAAAAAAAAAAAAAAAGAAGAAAGGAAGTACTGATACCCGCTACAACACGGAAAAACATTGAAGATATTACACTGAGTTAAAGAAGCCAGTCAGAAAGGACCACATACTGTATGATTTTATTTATATAAAATGTCCAGAAGAGGCAAATCCATAAAAACAGAACATAGATTAGTGGTTACCTATGACTATAACGGAAGGGGAATTGGGCGGTGATGACTAAGGGGTGTAGTGTTTCTTTTGGGAATATTAAAATGTTCTACAATTGATTGTAGTGATGGGTGCACAACTCTGAAATATATACTAAAAACCATTGAATTTTACATTTTAGGTGAATTGTATAAAATGTGAATGATTATATCTTTTTGTTTTGTTTTGTTTTGTTTTAAGACAGAGCGTCATTCAGTCACTCAGGCTGGCATGCAGTGGCTAGATCTTGGCTCACTGCAACCTCTGCCTCCCGAGTTCAAGAGATTCTCATGCCTCAGCCTCCCGAGTAGCTGGAATTACAGGCATGCGCTACCACACCAAGCTAATTTTTGTAATTTTAGTAGAGACGTGGTTTCACCATGTTGGCCAGGCTGGTGTGGACCTCCTGACCTCAAAGGATCTACCCGCCACAGCCTCCCGAAGTGCTGGGGTTACAGGTGTCAGCCACTGTGCCAGGCCTTATTATTGATTATTATCTCAATAAAGATATAATCGTTATTGATTATCTCAATAAAGATATTTTTTAAATATTTTAAAGAAGTTTTTAATAAAAGAAACTCCATGCCATTATCAGTCACTCTCCATTCTCTCACCTTCTCCCAGTGCCTGGCAACCACTAATGTACTTTCAAAAGCAAATATTTTAATTTTGATAAAGTCCAATTTATTTATATTTTCTTTGTGCATTAGGTATCATATCTAAGAAACCATTGACTAATCCAAGGTCATGAAGATTTATACCTATATTTCCTTTGAAGAGTTTTAGAGTTTTTACTCTTAAATTTAGGTCTTTAGTACATTTGGGGCTAATTTTTGTATATTGTGTGAAGCAGGGATATGAATTCATTCTTTTACATGTGGATATCCACTTGACCAAATACCATTTGTTGAAAAGATTTTTCTTTCCCGACTTAATTGTCATAGCATTCTTGTCTTAAATTAATTACTGGTAGAATATATGAGTTTATTTCTGGATTCTTCATTCTATTTGATTTTTCTGTATATATATCCTAATGCCAATTCTACACAGCCTCGATTACTATAGCTTGGTAGTAGGTTTTGATACTGTGAGTTGTGAGTCCTCTAACTTTGTTCTTATATTCCCAAGATTGTGCTGTTTATTTTGAGTCCCTTGCATTTCCATATGAATTTTGGAATCTGCTTGTCAATTTCTGCAAAAAATTCAGCTGGAGTTTTAATAGAGATTGCTTTGCATCTGTAGATCAATTTGGGGAGCACAGCTGCCTTAACAATATCAAATCTTCCTTCTAGGAACACAGGATATCTTCTCAATTATTTAGGTCTTTAATTTCTTTTAATGATGTTTTCAGTGTACAAATCCTGCACATCTTTGTTATTTTATTTATTCTTTTTGATGCATTTAAAATGGAATTGTTTTCTTAATTTATTTTTTGAATTGTTCATTGCTACTGTAGAAATACACTTGATTTTTGGTATGCTATATTTTATATTTTGTGTATTGATTTTATATCTTTCAACCTTTTGAACCTGCTTATTAGTTCTAATAGTTCATGTGTGTGCATATATATGTGTGTGTATATTATTATATTCAGTACCATCTACAAATATAAATGGTTTTTCTCCTTTTTTTTCAAATATGGATGCTTTTTATTTCATTTTCTTTCCTAATTGTCCTGGTGTGAGGTACAATGCTGAATATAAGTGATAAGCAAGGGCATCCTTTTCTCGTTCCCGATCTTCAGTGGAAAGTTTTCATTCCTTCAACATTAAGTATAAAGTTAGCTCTAGTTTTTTTTCTCTTTTTTTTGTGGATGCACTTTAACAGGTTGAAAAATTTACTTGTATTCTTAGTTTGCTGAGTGTTTTTTTTATTGTGAAAGGGCTTTATATTTTGTCAAATGAGATGATTATGCATTTTTGTCCTTTACTATATTAATATGGTGTATTATATGGTTGAATTTTCATATGTTGAACCAATGTTTCATTCCTGGGATAAAACTCACTTGGTCTTTTTTATATATTACAGATTTGGTCTTCTAGTATTTTGTTGAGGATATTTGGATCTATATTCATGAGAGATTTTTGTCTGTAGTTTTCTTTTCTTGTGATGTCTTTGGTTGGTATCAGAGAAATGCTGACCTCATAGAATGGGTTGGGAAGCTCTTCTTCCTCTTCTGTGTTTTGAAAAAATTTGTGAAGTATTGGTGTTAATTATTCTTTAAATGTTTGGTAGAATTCAACAGTGAAGACATCTGATTCTGGGCTTTTCTTTGAGGGAAGTGCTTTGATTACTTATTCAAACTCTATTTTTCATAGGACTGTCAGATTTTCTATTTTTTTCTTGAGATTTCAGTAGTTTGTGTCTTTCTATGAATTTTTCTATTTTATCTAGGTTATCTAATTTGTTGTCACACAATTGTTTATAATATTCCCTTATATTTCCTTTTATTTCCGTAAAGCTTTTCATTCCTGAGTTTAGTAATTTGAGCCTTCTGCCTTTGTTTTTTTTGGTCAGCCTTTTTTGTTGCGTTGTGTTTATATTTTCACACATCTCAAAGTATTTTATAATTTCCTTTGTAATTTCTAATTTGGTTCATTGGTTATTTAGAAGTGTGTTTAATTTTTACATATTTGTGAACTCACTACATTTTCTTCTTTTGTTGATTATAATTTCATTCCATATCGTAAAAGAAAATACCTTTTATTAATCATTTAAAAATGATTGAGACTTGTTTTATGGTTTAATATATGGTCTATCTTGAAGTATATTCCATGAGCACTTGAGAAGAACATGTATTATGCTATTGAGTGGAGTCCTCTAATAGATACCTGTTAAGTCTAGTTGGTTAATAGTGCTGTTCAGGTCTTGTATCAGTCATCTATATTTTTGATTTTTTGATATGCTATCTAGTTGCTCTTTTCATTATTAAAAGTGGGATATGGAAGTCTCAAAATGTTATTGTTAAATGGTCTATTTACCTCTTTAATTCTGTCAGTTTTTGCTTCTTGTCTTATGGGGCTTTATTGTTAGATATTTATTAATGTTATCTGTTTATCATTGTAAATGTTCTTACTTGTCTTTATTAACTTTTTTTTGTCTTGAACTCTCTTGTCTAATATTCTAGTTACCTTTGGCATTTTAAAAATTCTTTAAGTTTCAACCTGTTTTCATTTTTGAATCTAAAGCATAACTCTTGATAGGAATAGCATTGAATCTGTAAATTACTTTGGGTAGTGTGGTCATCTTAAAGATATTGATTCTTCCAATCCATAAACATGGGATTTTTTCCATTTATTTGCATCATCTCTGATTTCTTTCAGCAGTATTTTGCAGTTCTTCTTGTAGAGATCATTCACTTCCTTGATTAGGTGTATCACCAGATATTTTATTTTCTTTGTGGCTTTTGTAAATGGAATTGTGTTCTTGTTTGACTCTCAGCTTGGACTTTATTGGTGCATAGAAATGTTACTGATTTTTGAAAATTGATTTTACATCCTGAAAGCATTCTAAAATTTTTTATCACTTCTAGTCACACTACTCAACTTCAAACTATACTATAAGGCTACAGTAACCAAAACAGCATGGTAAACAGACACACAGACCAACAGAATAGAATACAGAACCTAGAAACGAAGCTGCTCATCTACAATCATCCAATCTTCGACAAGGCTGACAAAAAAAAGCAATGGGGAAAGGACTCTCTATTCAATAAATGGTGCTGGGATAAATGGGTAGCCATATGCAGAAGAATGAAACTACATGTTCACCTTTCATCATATTAAAAAACTAACTCAAAATCCATTAAAGATTTAAACAAAAGACCTCAAACTATAAATATTCTAGAAGAAAACCTAGGAAATAGCCTTCTTGACATTGGCCTTGGCAAATAATTTTTGGCTAAGTCCTCAAAAGCAGCTGCAACATAAAAATAGAATCTAAATAGATTCCATAAAAATGGAATCTAATTAAACTGAAGAGCTTCTGCACAGCAAAAGAAAGCATCGACAGAGCAAACAGACAGCTTACAGAATGGGAGAAAATATTCACTAATTATGCGTCCAAGAAAGATCTAATACATAGAATCTATAAGGAACTTAAACAAATGAACAAGTAAGAAACAGACACTTCACAAAAGACATACAAACACCTAACAAACATGAACAAATACTCATCATCACTAATCATCAGAGAAATGCAAATGAAAACCACAGAGAGATACCATCTCAAACTAGTCAGAATGGCTATTATTAAAAAGGCAAAAAACAACAGATGCTGGTGAGGCTGCAGAGAAAAGGGAATACTTATATACTGTTGATGGGAATGTAAATTAGTTTAGCCACTGTGGAAAGCAGTTTGGAGATTTCTCAAAGAACTTACAATAGAATTACCATTCAACCCAGCAATCCCATTACTGAATATATACCTAAAGGAAAATAGATCATTATACCAAAAACACACATGCACTTGTATGTTCATTGCTGTGCAATTCACAACAGCAAAGACATGGAATCAACTTAGGTGCCCATCAGTGGTGGATTGGAGAAGAAAAATGTGGTACATATACACTATGAAATACTATGCAGCCATAAAAAAGAATGAAATCATGTCCTTTGCAGCAGCATGGATGCGGCAGGAGGCCATAATCCTAAGTGAATTAATGCAGGAACAGAAAACTATCGCATGTTCTTACTTCTAAGTGGAAGCTAAATATTGAGCACACATGGACATAAATATAGGAACAATAGATACTGAAGAATATTAGAGGGATGAGTGGATTGAAAAACTATTTGGTACTATGCTCACTACCTGGGTGCAATATACCCATGTGACAAACCTGTACATGTACTCTCTGTATCTAAAACAAAAGCTGAACATTTTTTTAAAAAGGTGTAACTCTTGTAGATAGCATATATTTGGGTCCTTTTAAAAAATCTGACAACCTTTGCCTTTGGAATGTTTAATATATTTACACCTAATGTAATTTACTCCCATGTTGGGAATTACCTCTGTCATTTTATTATTTGTTTTCTCTATGTCTTATGTCTTTTATGTTCCTGTATTCTTCTATCACTGCCTTCTTTGATGTTAAATATTTTCTACTGTTTCATTTTAATTCCCTGCTGTTTCTTTACAAATAGTCCCTTTTATTTCTGTAAAGCATTTTATGCTTGTATATACTGATGTGTATTACTTCTTCTTCTTCTTTTCTTTTCTTTTTTTTTTTGAGATGGAGTCTCACTCTATCACCCAGGCTGGAGTGCAATAGTGCAATGTTGGCTCACTGCAACATCCACTTCCTGGGTTCAAGTGATTCTTCTGCCTCAGCCTCCCAAGTAGCTGGGATTACAGGTGCCTGCCACCACGCCCAGCTAATGTTTTGTATTTTTAGTAGAGACAGGGTTTCACCATGTTGGTCAGAACTCCTGTCCTCAAGTGACCTGCCCGCCTTGGCCTCCCAAAGTGCTGGGATTATTACTTATTTTCTTAGTAGTTGTCCTGGTGATTACAATTAATATCTTAAACTTATAACAAACTAGTTTGAATAATATGAACTTAGTTTCAAAAGTATATACTGTATTCCTATACAATGCCTCCATTTTATATAGTTATTATCGCAGGTTACATCTTTATACATTGTATACCATTAACAGATTTATAATTACGATTTTGCCACTTAAATCATATAGAAAATTAGAGGTATTACAAAGCAAATGATACTGGCTTTTATATTGACCTGTGCAACTACTGTGTAACTTTTACTAGTGTTCTTTATCTCTTCATATGGCTCTGAGTTTCTATGTCCTTTCATTTTGACCTGAAGGAAGGACTCCTTTTAGCATTTCTTATAGATCAAGCCTACTAGAAACAAAATCTCTTAGCTTTTGTTTATCTAGGAATATCTTAATTTTTCTTCATTCTTGACGTTTAATTTAGTTAGCTATAGAATTCTTGGTTGACTTTTGCTTTCAGCATTTTAAATAGTTCATTCAGGATTGGGCATGGTGGCTCATGCCTGTAATCTAAGCACTTCAAGAGGCTGAGGTGGGTGGATTGCTTGAGCCTGAGAGTTCAAGACCGCCTGAGTAACATGACAAGACCCCAACTCTACAAAAAATAAGAAAATTTGGTTGGTGTGGTGGTGTGCACCTGTAGTCCCAGCTACTTGAGAGACTAACGTGAGAGGATCACTTGAGCCCAGGATGTCGAGGCTGCAGTGAGCTATGATCACACCACTGCACTCCAGCCTTGGCAACAGAGCAAGACCTTGTCTAAAAACAAAAAATTTCATCCCACTGCTTTCTGGCTTCCATGATTTCTGATGAGAAATCAGCCTTGGATATTATTGAGGGTCCCTTGTACATGGCAAGTCACTTTTTTCTTGCTGCTTATAAAATTCTCTATCTTTGGTTTTTGACAATTTGGGTACAATGTAACTGAGTGTCAATTTGTTTGAGTTTATCATGCTTGGAGTTCTTGAAACTTCTTGAATGTGCAGATTCACGTATTTCATCAAATTTGGAAAGCGTTTAGCCAATATTTTTTTTCTGCCCATATCAAGCATATGTTAGTATGCTTGGCAGTGTTTCACATGTACTTGAAGATCTGTTCATTTTTCTTCATTCATTTGTTTTTCTGTTTCTCAGACTGAGTAATCTCAATTGTCCTATCTTCAAGTTTGCTGATTCTTTCTTATGCCTGCTCAGATCTGTTATTGAGCCCCTTTAGTGAATTTTAAATTAATTATTACACTTTTTACTTCCAGATTCTCCAGTTGGCTCCTTTTTAATAATTTCTATCTCTATCGATATTATTTATTTTAGGCAATATCTTTCTTATACTTTCTTTTAGTTCTTAAGACATGGTTTCCCTTAGTTCTTTTAACTCATTTGTAATAATGAAAGTGGTAGTCTAGTAAGTACAATGCTTGGATTTTCTCTGTTGGCTGCTTCCCCATTCCTTTCCCCCTGTATGGGATATACTTGTTCTTGTTGCTTTGTATCTCTCATAATATTTTATTAAAAACCAGACAAATTAGGCTGGGCATGGTGGCTCACGCCTGTAATCCCAGCATGTTGGGAGGCCGAGGCAGACAGATCACGAGGTCAGGAGATCGAGACCATTCTGGCTAACATGGTAAAACGCTGTCTCTACTAAAAATACAAAAAATTAGCCGGGTGTGGTGGCTACTCCCAAGTAGCGCCTGCAGTCCCAGCTACTTGGGAGGCTGAGGCAGGAGAATGGCGTGAACCCGGGAAGCGGAGCTTGCAGTGAGCAGAGATCGCGCCACTGCACTCCAGCCTGGGCGACAGAGCGAGATTCCATCTCAAAACAAAACAAAACAAAACAAAAAACAGACAAATTAAATAATACAATGTAGCAACTCTAGAAATCATGTTATCTCCCCTTCCTCTGGCTTGTTGTTGCTGTTTCTTTTTGTGATTGTTTGTTTCTTCAGAGACTTTTCTGAACTAATTCTGTAAAGTCTGTATTCTTTGTTGTGTGAACACTGATGTCTCTGCTTGGTTAGCTTAAATGTCAGCTAATTATTGGATGGAGATTTTCTTACATGTGTGGAACCAATAATTCTTCCAGTCTTTGCCTAGGGGCTCTGTGTGTGTGTTGGTGTGTGTCTCCAAAACTCAGTCAGTTCGTTGATGACCCTGTCTTTGCCTTCACTACATGCTTGTCCAGAGCCCAAGGTCAGCCCACAGAGAGAGTTTAGGGCTTTCTCAGGTCTTTACTGGAATGTGCACAGCCCTACACATGCATATGACCTTCTACAATCCGAGGTATATGTCATAACTTTTCAAATCCCCTATGGATAGTTCCTTCCCTAGCTCATGTATACATATGTAACTAACCTGCACGTTGTGCACATGTACACTAAAACTTAAAGTATAATTAAAAAAGAAAATAATTAAATTAAAACAATTGTGGAAGACAAAAGTTTTAAAGTAAAAAAAAAAAAAACTTTTTTGATTAGCATATTTTTTCCCCCAACTGTTTCCACTGCCTCAAAGCAGCAAAGTTAATCAATTGCCTCTAATTTGTTTTGGCAAACATTCCTAGGGAAAAGGATTTTTGTAGCTGGTAAATTATGAATTAGGTTAAATAAAGACAGCTTTGTAGATGGGGATCTTCCAGGGAAGCACCACACATCCAGGTGAGGTAATGATAGTTGTCTGGGAATTAGGCTTCGAGGGAACTCCATCGCCAATCTACCCCTCCAGAGGCTGCCAGGCTGATGGTTTTTAGTGTGATTTAAGGCTGTTGGTTTTCAAGGTTTCCATGGAGCTAGAGCAAGAGTGATGGAAAAAGGGCAGGTTAAAATGCCTAAAATCACTCTGTTCTTTTCAAAATTCAACTTTTTTCACATAAATACTATCCTGATTGGTGCCAGTGTTTATTTCCAAAGTTATGAAAAAACTGATTTTGACAAATTTTGCCATTTCCCCAATTGCTTCTAAAGCAGAGATAATTTTCAGAGGTCTTTGCCATTTTTGCTGATGTCACTTTTTTTCTTTTATATTAATTTGAGGAACAGCCAGGAGGCACCATGGCCAAGGCAGAGTGGGGGAATGTTGAGGTCAGGGAGGCAACAGGGGCCAGAGCGCATAGGAAGGGCTGACCTTGAGGCTACTGTGAGGACTGTGGATTTTACTCTGATGTGAAGATGCAGCAGGGACTCTGAGCAGATAGGTGATGCAATATGACTTGGGTTGAAAGAGAGTCATTCTGGCTGCTGGGTACAAACTGAAACACAGAATTTGAAGTGGGAAAGAACAGAACCAATTTTCTCTCAGAGAAATCCCAAATCCTTTCCCTGGCCTGCAAGGCCCTGCAGGATATGCGTCTGGCCAGCCCTCTGACCCCATATCTTAGCACTTGGCCCCTTTTTAACTCTGCTGCGGCTACACTGGATGCCTTAATTTTCCTCAAATTCTGCCCTTGCCCCAGAGCCTTTGCACCTGTTGTTCCTTCTGCCTGGAACACCTTTCCCACAGGTATTCACATGGCTTATGCTCTTCCTTATGATCTTTGTCCAAATGCCACTTTATCAGAGGGACTACCTTGACTGTTTTATATAAAATGGTAATTCCCTTCCCTCTGCTCTTTATCCCATTACCCTCTTTTATGTTTCTTCAGAGCCTCTATCAACACCTCACATGTTACTTATACATTTGTTATCGGTCTGGCAATATAAACCGATTTATTCCAAGTTGCCTTTTTAGCCTCTAGGAGGAGGAAGAAGTGAAAAAAGAATTTCCCAGACAGAAGAACACATATTTTTCTCATTTTCTGAAAGCCTCCTTCTCGGGAAGGCCCTCTTAATGGAAACCTACTCTTCACGCCTGTAGTCTATCAAGTCCTGGGGCATTCTTGGGGTTGAATGAAAGAGTGTTGAAAGAAGGGCCAGGTGTAAAGGAGGGCTGATTAACTTTCGGTTCTAATGATCTCAGAAAGCCATTGGATTAGTCAACATCACCTTCTCTAACTTTATAACAAGGGATCCTGCAGACTCAAATGCTTCACACAGGACAGGTTTATTTCTTTTCTTTTTGTCTCCCTTCCTTCCTTTCTTCCTTCCTTCCTTCCTTCCTTCCTTCTCTCTCTCTCTCTTTCTTTCTTTTCTTTGAGATGGAGTTTTGTTCCTATCACCCAGGCTGGAGTGCAGTGGTGCAATCTTGGCTCACTGCAGCCTCTGCCTCCCAGATTCAAGCGATTCTCCTGCCTCAGCCTCCTGAGTAGCTGGGATTATAGGCACCTGACACCATGCCGGGCTAAGTTTTGTATTTTTAGTAGAGATAGGGTTTCACCATGTTGGCCAGGCTGGTCTCAAGTGCCTGACCTCAGTTGATCTGCCCACCTCGGCCTCCCAAAGTGCTGGGATTACAGGCGTGAGTCACTGTGCCCGACCAGGAAAGTTTTATTTCTTACTCCCAAAGTCGGATGTGGATTAAATGGGGTCCTTCTTGGCCATACTCGTCCATGCAGTAACTCAGGAATCCTGGCTCCTTTAACTTATGATGTTGCAATCTTAAATGTGTGGGCTCTGAAAGGAAAGAAACCCTGCTGAAGGCACACTGGCCTTTAACTGTCTTAACACAGATGTGCCGCCTGTCACTTCTGCTCATATTCCACTAGACAAACTCAACCAGATGCCTCTCCCTCACTGCAGGGGAGGCTGGAAAGTGCTGCAGCTTGTATGTGGCAAACACAGTGGTTTTCCTCTGCCACAATCACCTTGAGAATGCAGATGGACGGCTCTCCCCAGTGTCTGCTCAGGAGCCAGCTGGAGGTGAGGGAAGAAGTTGTTGGCTGCAAAGGACAGGTCCTTGAGAGAGAGACCGACTAACCAGGGAGCCTTTGTGGATTTGGGATGAGATTGGGAGCTCTGGCCCAGATAGCCTCTCACCTGTAAGCCAACCATCTTCTGGACATATGAATTCGAGAGAGCTTCAAACTTGAGCCCTCAGTGATGTGCCCCACTGGGCATTTCCTTGACAGTGTCTAGCATCCTGAGGCCATGTCACCAGTGCCTCTCCAAGGAAAGCTCCTCAGGTACAGTAGTTTGTTTTCACAGTGTGAACAGTAGCCTGAAATAAGGTTAGCATGGCAGCTTGCACAACAACTTTGCACTGGATTGTGATGAGCAGGGGTAGGAGGCGTTTCTTGGAGGTTGATTAATCCATACGTGTTTATGCAGACTTTCCTTAGAGAACACCTCCTCACCCTGACAGTCAGTGTGTGCACAGGCCTCCTAATGCACTGTGTGCTAGTTAAAATGTCCAATGTGGAAAGTATTATAACAGCTATGCAACCAACTCTGATTGGAAGCAGCTTTTGCTTCAGATATGATCTGTGTTACCAGAAAATTGGGCATGTGCAGGGCTGGCTTAATTTCTTTATTCTTTTCCTTTCTCTTGTTTATCATTGTTTAACCTTGGGAGGTGAATTGTAAAGCTCTGTGGTCCCTGTAGGGTGTCCCATGACATTTACACTGAGGAGCAGAGATACATAGGCACATGAAAACCATTTAGACTAGCAAGGAAGCTTTTGAGTGTGGGATTTTTCTTGAATAGTTCATTCTCAGGCTTTGGCATATTACTTGAGAGGTGGAGATTCCTTTAACCAAAACAACAAACCAAAACTAGGTACTCAGGTGCAGAGCCAATGCCTGATTGCCTTGTTGTTTTGGGTTTTGAGTTCCCTAACTACCCATGATTATTGAATATGGAATCAAGGCCCTCCTGCAGGTTCCCTTGTAATCTTATCTAAAATACAACCTGGTTTTGTAATGAAAGGGAGCTGTGTTCCCACTTAGGGTCATTCAGTTTGTGTGAGGCATAACAGTGCTTGGCCGAGGGGGCTTGTCGGGCTGGAATGCAGCCCTTCTCCTGCTTGCTAGGCCCTGCTTTTTGGTCCTGAGCTGTGTCAGGCCAGAGGACAGGACATCTTTTTGTAATTTGAAATCTCAAAGGGGAGGCCTGGCATGGTGGCTCATGCCTGTAATCCCAGCACTTTGGGAGGCCAAGGCAGGCAGATCACAAGGCCAGGAGATTGAGACCATCCTGGCTAACACGGTGAAACCCAGTCTCTACTAAAAATACAAAAAACTAGCCGGGCGTGGTGGCAGGCGCCTGTAGTCCCCAGCTACTGGGGAGGCTGAGGCAGAGAATGGCATGAACCCGGGAGGCGGAGCTTGCAGTGAGCCCAGATCGCGCCACTGCAGTCCAGCCTGGGCAACAGAGCGAGACTCTGTCTCAAAAAAAAAAAAAGAAAAAAAAAATCTCAAAGGGGCACCCTCTTGCCCAGAGGTGCTGCACAACATGTGCTAGCAGCCCCTGCAGGGCCACCATGCCCCTCACCATGTCCAGTGTCTTCAGTGCCCTCAGCCTCCAAGTGATTCTCAGAATTCTCCACTGCCACCCAAGAAGAAAAGACTAGAGGTGGAGGAATTTCTCCTCGAGGGCCACTTCTGCCGAGTCTCTGACCTCCTCTATTTATTCTCAGCCTCTTTGGTGACATTCCTGCTTGCAGATATTCAGCACACATGCGGAATTTTATCGCATACCCAAACCCTATAAGAATGTGAAATATAGCATGACAACATTTTGCTACATTAACTTATGTAGGATTCCTCCCCCCAACCATAGTTATATATTTTCCCCTTCTCCCTCCACTCAGCCAATATAAGTGACAAGGCCGTTTGATGCTCAGTCCCCCAGGACAGATAATAGGAGAAGTAGGAAGCAGAGAAAACAAAGAGTTGTCTTCACAGGCATTTCCAGAAGCTGATACTCTTGAGGGAGTGGAAAGGACTCCATGTGTATCCAACACGGGAGGGACATCCTGAGTGACAGCGGAGATTTCACTCCTGCCCATTTTGGGAAGGGTGTCCCTGGGTGAAGAAGGAGTTGACAGGCAGCTCTATGCTCTACCTGTTGGCAATTCTCTCTGGGAAGATTTCTGTGCCCCAGCGTGGCAGAAAGTGAGTCCTGTGCCCTCAAGGGTGGTACAGATTAGCTGAGAGAATAGTCGGATCTAAAGGGTCTCATGCCTGGAATGAGGGCTGCCCTTCTGGGGACTGGTATAGACTAAAAGCTGAGGAGCAGATGGGACAATGGGCACCTCAGCAGTGCCTGTGTGGGCATGATGCTACCTCCCTTCCCAGGCCCTCAGTACTAGGAGCTTCCCAGAAGACAGACACAGTCTTGGGGAAACCAGAGGTGCCATAAGGAATGCTTGAGTTTAAACCTCTACCATCCCCCAAATACACACAAAGTTATAGAAAGACAGATGAATTGCACACATCCATGCTGGACAATGGGTTTGGGAAGTATGGCGAGGGATGTATAAAACAGGTCCGTTTCTCACCTTTCCCTTCTACTCCACCCACCCCCTCCCTTTAGCCTCCTTTCTGAGAGTCTACCTGTGAAAGCCAGCGAGTTCTGTGGGGCTGCTGGGTGGGGTGAGGGCTACAGATCTGAGGTCAGGTGTCATTGAACATAAAACTAGTTGGAGGGTCAGCTTAGCTTAGGGCTTCACATACTCCTTCATCTGGTGGTCAGGACAAGATGTAGGTAGGCCATTTTAACACGGAGCAAGGATTTCTCCAGCTCATGTCACCTCTGGCATCTGCTCCGTGGAGGCTCAAGCCCTGTCTCCAGAGTTTGGATGAGGCTTCTTTGCTCCCTGGAATCCAGGGCCACTGCTCTGGCTTCTGAATGAAAGTGACTCCACACAGCCAGGCTTCATGGCCATTGGGGCTGGTACACACCAGCTGTCACTGAGGCTGTAAGGAAGTGAGCCCAGGGCTGAGGCAAAGATTCTGGTCCTGGCTCTGGCACCAGCTTGCAGTGTGCCACAACACATTCCCAAACCTCAAGTCCTTGATGCTTCCTTGGGAAATGAGGGGATTGGCCTCGAATAATTTATTGGGTTTCATTCAGCCCTTCAATGTCTATAACTCTGTGACAATGTTTGACATTTATTCTTTGGGTTGTTTCTTTTATACACTTATAGCTTTTGGTGGGTTTCATCCCCTTCCCCTAATAACGACAACAGAAACGTCTCCCATGTGAACAGGGCTTTCCAGCTTAAAACGACATCTCCCTGTCAATGAGTCTGTGTAAGTCCCAGGATTCAGGACCTGCTGTCGTGGAGCCCCTTTTCTCCTTTCTTTAGTGATTGCCTTTCTAATTCCTTCTTTCTTCCTTGGAGGCTTCTGAGTTTGCACAGGGCCAGCCCTTGGCCCCACTGCACACAGTCACCCTGTCCCCTCTCAGCTGTCCTCTAAGAGCTCCCTCATGCACATTTCCAGGCACATTTGTAGGGACCAAAGTGAATGACTTTGACCACACTTTAAGCATCACTCCATGCCTTCACATACATGAAAAATTTTTGCTATTCTTCTAATTACAAATGTCATAGATCATAAATTTATGCAAAATGCAGGTTTATTAGAATGCTTCTCATAGATAGTGCTACCACTAAGAAAGAGGGTTTGGTACACACACTGCCAACTTTTTCTCCATCTGAATGTGGGCTCTTCCTTCCCACCCCCTTTTCTTTAAGCCTGATGCCTTCTAAGATGGATAGAGTAAAATGTTTTTTGTGCAATATGACTCAAGGGTGGCAAGAGACGGACTGCTTCCATAATAAGGAATAGGAGACAAGCTAGCAGGAAATTAACCTTTTCTATGCACTTTTCAGTATTTTTAGTTCCTCTCCTCCTCTCACCATTGATACTTCTCTGCGGCCCCATCAAATTGCAGACACAGATGAAGAGGAGTTTGACACTTTCCGGGTCCTACGTCCAGACAGTAGGACATCAGGATCTGAGTGGCAATGGGATGGGCACATCTATAAGTAGTTATTCTTCTAAGAGACATGTCAGTTCATGAGGAAAGTCCAGCATCATGTAGATATATAGTTGGAAAAGGGAGGAGTGTTTTACTAATCTTTTCAGATAATTGTGGATATTCTTCTGTGATACTATACCAAACTCAGCCAGTACCTAGGAGTTAGTTACACTGTGAAATCTGAAATCACATTAATGAACTTTTTTTAGTCTGCTACACTAAGATCTATTGGTTTATCTTGCTTTAAATAGAAATATCATGCATATATACTTTGTACCATACTTAGGCTATTTTGAAAATATTGGTTCACTGAGTTATGTAGATCTTCTAAATGTTGACTAAGATATTTTCTTAATATAAAATAATCACATTCATTAATACTGCTACCCATCTGTGATGGTTAATACTGAGTGTCAACTTGATTGGATTAAAGCTTACAAAGTATTGATCCTGGGTGTGTCTGTGAGGGTGTTGTCAAAGGGGATTAACATTTGAGTCAGTGGGCTGGGAAAGGCAGATCCATCCTTAAACTGGGTGGGCACAATCTAATCAGCTGCCAGTTTGCTAGAATACAAGCAGGCAGGAAAATGTAAAAAGAGAAACTGGCCTAGCCTCCCAGCCTACATCTTTCTCCCATGCTGCATGCTTCCTGCCCTTAAACATTGGACTCCAAATTCTTCAGTTTTGGAACTCGGACTGGCTCCACTTGCACCTCAGCCTGCAGTTGGCCTATTGTGGGACCTTGTGATCGTGTAAATAAATCGTGTAAATAAATACTTAATAAACTCCCCTTTGTATGTATATGAGATGGTGTATTAGGGTTCTCTAGAGGGACAGAACTAATGGAATATATTTATATAAATATATATAAATATATAATTTTATATATTTATATATATTATAATTTTATAATTATATATATATATAATTTTTTTTCTAGCGCAGGATACTCCTTGCCATATCTGAAAGAAGAGGGTGCTGTCAGAGAGCTACTAATCTCTGACTAGTGGACCCCCTTGATAGAAAAGCAGGCTTTGATTTGGGGGTACTATATATATATGTTCCACTAGTTCTGTCCCTCTAGAGAACCCTGACTAATACACCACCTCATCAGAAAAGTAAGTATTGGAAAGCTGTCAAGCCCATAGTAACTGATACAAGTTTTCCAAATTCTTAATTTTCACTTAAAAGTTTGAATTTTATCAGTAGCAACAAAACCTTTAGTTTTTCTTGAAATGATGGGCTTACTTTATTCACTTTCAAAGAAATATCTGCCAAAAACCTAAGTTTGAATAACCATCGTCAGTTTTTCGGCCGAGTAAAGGTAGTTCTCCATTAAACTACCATCTTTTCTTGTCTCCATTAAAGACAAGAAAAGAAAAAGGCTTGTTCAGTTTGCAACTCAAACAATGGTACAAGTGCTTTCCCTTGAGCCAACCGTAGTCTGGGGGACATAGTAGAAGTGCAAGGTAAGTATCTCCCATTTTATTACATAGAATATTTTTTTTTTACAGATGAATTCTTTTTGTTTATTATTATACTTTAAGTGTTAGGGTACACGTGCACAACGTGCAGGTTTGTTACACATGTATACATGTGCCATGTTGGTGTGCCGCACCCATCAACTCGTTATTTAGCATTAGGTGTATCTCTCCTAATGCTATCCCTGCCCCCTCTCCCCACCCCACAACAGTCCCTGGTGTGTGATGTTCCTCTTCCTGTGTCCATGTGTTCTCATTGTTCAATTCCCACCTATGAGTGAGAACATGTGGTGTTTGGTTTTTTGTCCTTGCAATAGTTTGCTGAGAATGATGGTTTCCAGCCTCATCCATGTCCCTACAAAGGACATGAACTCATCCTTTTTTATGGATGCATAGTATTCCATGGTGTATATGTGTCACATTTTCTTAATCCAATCTATCATTGTTGGACATTTGGGTTGGTTTCAAGTCTTTGCTATTGTGAATAGTGCCACAGTAAACATACGTGTGCATGTGTCTTTATAGCAGCATGATTTACAACCCTTTGGACATATACCCAGTTATGGGATGGCTGGGTCAAATGGTATTTCTAGTTCTAGATCCCTGAGGAATCACCACACTGACTTCCACAATGGTTGAACTAGTTTACAGTCCCACCAACAGTGTAAAAGTGTTCCTATTTCTCCACATCTTCTCCAGCACCTGTTGTTTCCTGACTTTTTAATGATCACCATTCTAACTGCTGTGAGATGATGTCTCATTGTAGTTTTGATTTGCATTTCTCTGATGGCCAGTGATGATGAGCATTTTTTCATGTGTTTTTTGTCTGCATAAATGTCTTCTTTTGAGAAGTGTCTGTTCATATCCTTCACCCACTTTTTGATGGGGTTGTTTGTTTTTTTCTTGTAAATTTGTTTGAGTTCTTTGTAGATTCTGGATATTAGCCCTTTGTCAGATGAGTAGGTTGCAAAAATTTTCTCCCATTCTGTAGGTTGCCTGTTCACTCTGATGGTAGTTTCTTTTGCTGTGCAGAAGCTCTTTAGTTAAATTAGATCCCATTTGTCAATTTTGGCTTTTGTTGCCATTGCTTTTGGTGTTTTAGACATGAAGTCCTTGCCCATGCCTATGTCCTGAATGGTATTGCCTAGGTTTTCTTCTAGGGTTTTTATGGTTTTAGGTCTAACATTTAAGTCTTTAATCCATCTTGAATTAATTTTTGTATAAGGTGTAAGGAAGGGATCCAGTTTCAGCTTTCTACATATGGCTAGCCAGTTTTCCCAGCATCATTTATTAAATAGGGAATCCTTTCCCCATTTCTTGTTTTTGTCAGGTTTGTCAAAGATCAGATAGTTGTAGATATGCGGCATTATTTCTGAGGGCTCTGTTCTGTTCCATTGATCTATATCTCTGTTTTGGTACCAGTACCATCCTGTTTTGGTTACTGTAGCCTTTTAGGTTACTGTAGCCTTGTAGTATAGTTTGAAGTCAGGTAGTGTGATGCCTCCAGCTTTGTTCTTTTGGCTTAGGATTGACTTGGCAATGCGGGCTCTTTTTTGGTTCCATATGAACTTTAAAGTAGTTTTTTCCAATTCTGTGAAGAAAGTCATTGGTAGCTTGATGGGAATGGCATTGAATCTGTAAATTACCTTGGGCAGTATGGCCATTTTCACAATATTGATTCTTCCTACCCATGAGCATGGAATGTTCTTCCATCTGTTGTTATCCTCTTTTATTTCATTGAGCAGTGGTTTGTAGTTCTCCTTGAAGAGGTGCTTCACATCCCTTGTAAGTTGGATTCCTAGGTACTTTATTCCCTTTGAAGCAATTGTGAATGGGAGTTCACTCATGATTTGGCTCTCTGTTTGTCTGTTATTGGTGTATAAGAATGCTTGTGATTTTTGCACATTGATTTTGTATCTTGAGACTTTGCTGAAGTTGCTTATCAGCTTAAGGAGATTTTGGGCTGAGACAATGGGGTTTTCTAGATATACAATCATGTCATCTGCAAACAGGGACAATTTGACTTCCTCTTTTCCTAATTGAATGCCCTTTATTTCCTTCCCCTGCCTGATTGCCCTGGCCAGAACTTCCACCACTATGTTGAATAGGAGTGGTGAGAGAGGGCATCCCTGTCTTGTGCCAGTTTTCAAAGGGAATGCTTCCAGTTTTTGCCCACTCAGTATGATATTGGCTGTGGGTTTGTCATAAATAGCTCTTATTATTTTGAGATATGTCCCATCAATACCTAATTTATTGAGAGTTTTTAGCATGAAGCGTTGTTGAATTTTGTCAAAGGCCTTTTCTGCATGTATTGAGATAATCATGTGGTTTTTGTCTTTGGTTCTGTTTATATGCTGGATTACGTTTATTGATTTGCGTATGTTGAACCAGCCTTGCATCCCAGGGATGAAGCCCACTTGATCATGGTGGATAAGCTTTCTGATGTGTTGCTGGATTTGGTTTGCCAGAATTTTATTGAGGATTTTTGCATCAATGTTCATCAAGGATATTGGTCTAAAATTCTCTTTTTTTGTTGTGTCTCTGCCTGGCTTTGGTATCAGGATGATGCTGGCTTCATAAAATGAGTTAGGGAGGATTCCCTCTTTTTCTATTGATGGGAATAGTTTTAGAAGGAATGGCACCAGCTCCTCCTTGTACCTCTGGTAGAATTAGGCTGTGAATCCATCTGGTCCTGGGCAGTTTTTGGTTGGTAAGCTATTAATTATTGCCTCAATTTCAGAGCCTGTTATTGATCTATTCAGAGATTCAACTTCTTCCTGGTTTAGTCTTGGGAGGGTGTATGTGTCGAGGAATTTATCCATGTCTTCTAGATTTTCTAGTTTATTTGCATAGAGGTGTTTATAGTATTCTCTGATGGCAGTTTGTATTTCTGTGGGATCGGTGGTGATATCCCCTTTGTCATTTTTTATTGTGTCTATTTGATTCTTCTCTCTTTTCTTCTTTATTAGTCTTGCTAGTGGTCTATCAATTTTGTTGATCTTTTCAAAAAACCAGCTCCTGGATTCGTTGATTTTTTGAAGAGTTTTTCGTGTTTCTATTTCCTTCAGTTCTGCTCTGATTTTAGTTATTTCTTGCCTTCTGCTAGCTTTTGAATGTGTTTGCTCTTGCTTCTCTAGTTCTTTTAATTGTGATATTAGGGCGTCAATTTTAGATCTTTCCTGCTTTCTCTTGTGGGCATTTAGTGCTATAAATTTCCGTCTACACACTGCTTTGAATGTGTCCCAGAGATTCTGGTATGTAGTGTCTTTGTGAAAGAACATCTTTATTTCTTCCTTCATTTCATTATGTACCCAGTAGTCATTCTGGAGCAGGTTGTTCAGTTTCCATGTAGTTGAGCAGTTTTGAGTAAGTTTCTTAATCCTGAGTTCTACTTTGATTGCACTGTGGTCTGAGAGACACTTTGTTATAATTTCTATTCTTTTACATTTGCTGAGGAGAGCTTTACTTCCAACTATGTGGTCAATTTTGCAATAGGTATGGTGTGGTGCTGAGAAGAATGTATATTCTGTTGGTTTGGGGTGGAGAGTTCTGTCAATGTCTGTTAGGTCCACCTGGTGCAGAGCTGAGTTCAATTCCTGGATATCCTTGTTAACTTTCTGTCTCGTTGATCTGTCTAATGTTGACAGTGGGGTGTTAAAGTCTCCCATTATTATTGTGTGGGAGTCTAAGTCTCTGTAGGTCACTAAGGACTTGCTTTATGAATCTGGGTGCTCCTGTATTGGGTGCATATATATTTAGTATAGTTAGCACTTCTTGTTGAATTGATCCCTTTACCATTATGTAATGGCCTTCTTTTTCTCTTTTGATCTTTGTTGGCTTAAAGTCTGTTTTATCAGAGACTAGGATTGCAACCCCTGCCTTTTTTTGTTTTCCATTTGCTTGTTAGATCTTTCTCCATCCCTTTATTTTGAGCCTATGTGTGTCTCTGCATGTGAGATGGGGCTCCTGAATACAGCACACTGATGGGTCTTGACTCTTTATCCAATCTGCCAGTCTGTGCCTTTTAACTGGAGCATTTAGCCCATTTACATTTAAGGTTAGTATTGTTATGTGTGAATTTGATCCTGTCATTATGATGTTAGCTGGTTATCAACTCGTTAGTTGATGCAGTTTCTTCCTAGCCTTGATGGTCTTTACAATTTGGCATGTTTTTGCAGTGGCTGGTACCGGTTGTTCCTTTCCATGTTTAGTGCTTCCTTCAGGAGCTCCTTTAGGGCAGGCCTGGTGGTGACAAAATCTCTTAGCATTTGCTTGTCTGTGAAGGATTTTATTTCTCCTTCACTTATGAAGCTTAGTTTGGCTGGATATGAAATTCTGGGTTAAAAATTCTTTTCTTTAAGAATGTTGAATATTGGCCCCCACTCTCTTCTGGCTTGTGGAGTTTCTGCCGAGAGATCAGCTGTTAGTCCAATGGGCTTCCCTTTGTGGGTAACCTGACATTTCTCTCTGGCTGCCCTTAACATTTTTTCCTTCATTTCAACTTTGGTGAATCTGACAATTATGTGTCTTGGAGTTGCTATTCTCGAGGAGTATCTTTGTGGCATTCTCTGTATTTCCTGAATTTGAATGTTGGCCTGCCTTGCTAGATTGGGGAAGTTCTCCTGGATAATATCCTGCAGAGTGTTTTCCAACTTGGTTCCATTCTCCCCATCACTTTCAGGTACACCAATCAGACGTAGATTTTGTCTTTTCACATAGTCCCACTTTGTTCATTTCTTTTTATTTTTGTTCATTTCTTTTTATTTTTTTTCTCTAAACTTCTCTTCTGACTTCATTGCATTCATTTCATCTTCCATCGCTGATACCCTTTCTTCCAGTTGATTGCATCGGTTACTGAGGCTTGTGCATTCATCACGTAGTTCTCATGTGGTGGTTTTCAGTTCCATCAGGTCCTTTAAGGACTTCTCTGCGTTGGTTATTCTAGTTATCCATTTGTCTAATTTTTTTTCAAAGTTTTTAACTTCTTTGCCATTGGTTCGAACTTCCTCCTTTAGCTCAGAGTAGTTTGATCTTCTGAAGCCTTCTTCTCTCAACTCATCAAAGCCGTTCTCCATCCAGCTTTGTTCCATTGCTGGTGAGGAGCTGCGTTCCTTTGGAAGAGGAGAGGTGCTCTGATTTTTAGAGTTTCCAGTTTTTCTGCTCTGTTTTTTCTGCATCTTTGTGGTTTTATCTACATTTGGTCTTTGATGATGGTGACGTGCAGATGGGTTTTTGGTGTGGATGTCCTTTCTGTTTGTTAGTTTTCCTTCTAACAGTCAGGACCCTCAGCTGCAGGTCTGTTGGAGTTTACTGGAGGTCCACTCCAGAACCTGTTTGCCTGGGTATCAGCAGCCATGGCTACGGAACAGCAGATATTGGTGAACCACAAATGCTGCTGCCTGATCATTCCTCTGGAAGTTTTGTCTCAGAGGAGTACCTGGCTGTGTGAGGTGTCAGTCCTCCCCTATGGGGGGGTGCCTCCCAGTTAGGCTACTCGGGGGTCAGGGACCCACTTGAGGAGGCAGTCTGTTCATTCTGAGATCTCAAGCTGTGTGCTGGGAGAACCACTACTCTCTTCAAAGCTGTCAGACAGAGACATTTAAGTCTGCAGAGGTTATTGCTGTCTTTTGTTTGTCTGTACCCTGCCCCCAGAGGTGGAGCCTATAGAGGCAGGCAGGCCTCCTTGAGCTGTGGTGGGCTCCACTCAGTTCGAGCTTCCCAGCTCTGTTTACCTACTCAAGCCTGGGCAATGGTGGGTGCACTTCCCCCAGCCTCACTGCCGCCTTGCAGTTTGATCTCAGACTGCTATGCTAGCAATGAATGAGGCTCCGTGGGCATAGGACCCTCCGAGTCCTGTGCGGGACATAATCTCCTGGTGTGCCGTTTGTTAGGCCCATTGGAAAAGCGCAGTATTAGGGTGGGAGTTACCCAATTTTCCAAGTGCCGTCTGTCACCCCTTTCTTTGACTAGGAAAGGGAATTCCCTGACCCCTTGCGCTTCCCTGGTGAGGTGATGCCGCACCCTGCTTTGGCTCATGCATGGTGAGCTGTACCCACTGTCCCGCACCCACTGCCTGGCACTCCCCGGTGAGATGAACCCAGTACCTCAGTTGGAAATGCAGAAATCACCCGTCTTCTGCGTCGCTCACGCTGGGAGCTGTAGACTGGAGCTGTTCCTATTTGGCCATCTTGGCTCCACCCCCTATCACATAGACTATTAAAAAGATTGGCTTCAATAAAATTGATAACTTTTATGGTTTCATCAAGAACATTGTTTTTTAAAATAATATATTCTATTTAACCCAGTATTTTCAAAATATTTCAACATATAATCAATAGTCATTGTTTATGAGATATTTGACATTCTTTTCTTGTATTGTCTTTGAAATCTGTTATTCATTTCGCTCTCATAGCACTCCTAAATTCAGACTAGAAAAAGTGTACAACAGCCACATAGGACTACTGTATTAGATAGCCCAGAAAATAGGGCTTTTCAAGAACATTCTTAATTCAAGCTACCTTTTTTTAAAAAAAATTCCTGCGAATGTGTGGAGGTGAAGAATTCAACTGTCCTGTACATCACTGATACAAATGTCAGGACAGAGCAAGGTAAATACTGTCTTGGTATTAGTATGAATATCAGTCTTGACCTCCTGGATCTCCTGAAAGGGTCTTGGGGACCCTAGAGCCCCATAGACCACACTTTAGGAATTGCTGGGCTAGAATTAAGTAGGATTAGACTTTAGCATCTTGGCTTTGGTGTTTTGCTTCCTATGTGAATGAAACACAATCTGGAACTGCATATTTCAAGAATAATGTACACATGAATTCATTTTGGACACATCTAAATCTGAGTTATGTCCGTGACCCTGTAGAAAAAAAAAAAAATGAACCAGGCCACTTCCAGAGAGCAGCCTCTGAGGGTTAATTTCAAAGACAAGTTTGTTTTATGGCATCTCTGCCCATGCCGTCGAGGGGAAACACCATGGAGCTGGCCGAGTGGTTCAGGAAACAATTAGGAACATTGCTGAGGCTTCCACATCAAAGCAGATAGTAGGACAAATGTCTGTCAGCACTATTGCCAGTGAGATCAGCCGATAGCTGGAGGGTCAGTGGGAGGTGTCCTCTGAGGGAAATGTGGCCAGGTGGTTGGGGCAGGGTGGTTGCAGTTGGCTAAGAGCTGGGTGACGGGGGAACCTGGGTCCCTTCTGATCAACAGCAGAACCAGCCTCTCTTCCCTCTGGCCACTTGGAGTCCTAGCCTCAGTTTTCATGAGAATCTCACACAGGGCAGATTGTGGTGGCTGCCTGGACTGCATTTGTCCAGGGCTTCGTATTTCTAGGTTACTTCCCATTTGTTATCCAGTTGAATTTTTCACCCAATTGTGACAGCTAAGCAAGACAGACTTTATTCTCGTTTGCCAGGAAATAGAGGCTTGGAAGGGAAGAACATTTCCCCAAGGCCACATAGCGTGGGTCTTGTAGTAACTTGTCCAAGGACACAGACAGCAGTGGGTATGAATCTGCAGTGTAGACTCTTCCAGATTTCAGGTCTCCAAAGTCTCTCTCCACTGTACCAGGTGTGTGTGCTCTGAGGGTTCCTTAGGCCAGGATTGCATGCGTGTGTGTGTGTGTGTGTGTGTGTGTGTGTGAGAGAGAGAGAGAGAGAGAGAGAGGAGACAGAAGAGTGCTACCCTTTTAGTTCTGCACAGAAAGACTTTCTCTGGGGCTCTGGAGGGCTTTCTAGCTCAGGATACTCCTTGCCATACCTGAAAGGAGAGGGTGCAGTCAGAGAGCTACTAATCTCTGACCAGTGGGCTCCTTAGACAGAAAAGCAGGCTTTGATTTGGGGGTGCTATCTATAGGTGCAGCGGTCTAACCTGGGTTTCCTGCTGGATTTCAGAAGAGTGATATGACAGCTCAGAGGACACACGGCCTCCTGCTATCCCCCCACCCCACCTCCCACCCTAGTGACACAGGCTAGTGTGAAGTATCTGTAGTTGCTGATCTCAGCCTTGTCCCTGTCAAAGTTTCAGAAAAGTCCCAATGTCTAGAAGCTTCGTAATTATAACTTGCCTCATTATATTTTATTAGGTGTCCAGGTCTTACACTGCTCCCTCTGGACACCAGAAGGTAATTCTACCATTTTTCCCAGGGGAAGGTGTCTGAGTGACAGAGAAAACAAGCTCTTATCCCCACTGTGTCCCCTAGCAGCCTCTGCCTCCGGCTCTTGTCCCGCTCTGCTCTCACTCAGAGCAGCCTGTCTCACCACCCAATTGGCTTAGCTCATCCATTAAACTCTGTTTGAAGTTTTATTTCCCTCTATTCTTGCTATCTCAATGGGCAATCGCTCCCAGGACATTTTGTAACAAAGAGCATTTTCTGTTCCATGAGAACACAGACCCCTGGCCTGCAGCCTGGTTGTATTTGAGAGCCTAGTCCATCCCTTCCCCCAACCTGAACCCCATTCTTTCTCCCTTCCTGTAATTTAAAAAAATAGTATTCTTACTTCTGAGGGCCTCAAGTGTATAGAATGAGGCCCCGTAACACTAACATCAAGACTTGTCTTTTGTTTTGCTTTATTTTGTCCCCATCTCTGTCCCATTCTCTCTCTCCATAGGAACCCATTTCTAAGGTCCTACATCAACACCTTTGAGCCTCACAGGCCCCTGAGGCTTAGTTGTGAGTTCCCCTGCTCTTGCCAAATATGCTCCCACCCAGCAAGAAAGGCTCCCCACCTAGCTAAATCCCCTATCAATTGTGCCAGCTGCGCCCCACCCAATCCCCAGCCCAAGGGGTTTCACCTCCCTGCCAACCCAGGAAATTATTCAAACAAGCCAACCACATCCTTCCAGGTAACTAGGGTGCACCCCTGCCTCCTGTTACTACAGAGCTGCCCCTTCTAGGTCACTCAGCTCCCAAGTGCAACCCCCATGTGGCCCTGCATGGTGTGCCATGTCCTCCTTCCCCGGCTGTGAATGTACGTGACTAAGCTGCTGTCAGTATCACCTATCCGATGTTGGGAATCCCTCCTTCACCAAGGGCCTGAATAGTAGGTGATCAGAGCACTACTCTAGGGTGCTAATGCATGCAATTCCAGACCATCTTCCATACTTTCTTTAGACATCTGTGTAGCCATTTAAAATACATCGTGTGCCTGCACCTTGCACGAAGTTCTGTGCTCTACATCTCACTGTCGCTTATCTGAGCGCTGCTCTCAGGGCTGCATCCACATTCCTTTGTCACCCACTGTTCCTGGATGTGCCAGTGGCTTTTACTGTGTGCTCCTAGAAGTCTTTGAGGGCTCTCTCTGGTGGTAAGAGAAAGGCAGGCTGGAAGTGGAGGGCAATGAATGCCCTGGGAGCAGCCCTCAATCAACATGGTGAGAATACCCAGCTCTCCAACAGCGCTTCCAGAGATCACTGCCTGAGCAAATGAGTTGCACTCAAATCCTTGCCTTGCGTTCTGATCTTGAGTTCTCTTGTGCTTGAGAACTCCACGTGTTGCTCTATGCAGACACATTTTCAGCATGTCTTACTGTCACATGGAATCCCAACATGTGCTCATCACTACATGCAACACACCCATATCCCTGGCAACGGATGCCGAGATTGCCCATGGCCTGTCTGCTATCAGACACAATGCTGGGCCAGCCATGCTTGGCCACCTCTCCTTGTGGGTGGGTGAGGGAGGTGAGCTAGGCTCTCTGGGGCATACCCCCAGCTGTGGGATTGCTGGGGTTTAGAGAGTATGCACACTTCATCTCACTAGGTGTTGTCAGACTTCTCTCTAAAGGGCCTGCACCAGCCTATTCTCCCACCAGCAATGTGTGAGTATTGACTCCCTCTGGTTCGCAGGCTGGGTTCTCCAGAGACACTGAGAGGGTGGTTGGTGAACAAAAAGCTGATTATAAGGGGTCAGCACCTATGAGGAAAAGCGGGAGGAAGTGAGACTGAGTAGTGGAAGAAGTTGAACTAGGAAGTGGGCACGGCAAAGCCTTGCTGACCCTGTGGAGCCCTGGAGTGAGTACTGCTGAGACGGCCAGGCTGTCATAGTCCATCTTTCCTCTGCTGCTGGGGCTGACCCACAGCGAGACTGTTTGCTGACTGCATGCCTTGTGCTCCCTTCTTTGAATGGGCATCTGGGGGATATCTCCCTGCCAATCTGACCTGTGAAGTGGGAACTCATTGTTATTTTCATTTGCATTTCCCCAATCATGGGTGAGCTTCAACATCTCTTTATGTGCTCATTAGTAAAGCTGATATTCAGCCAGCAGGAGCCAGTTGTTGAAATAGCCTCTGTCTGAGCCCCCAAATGCTCCTCCGCACTGGCTTCCCCAACGCAGCCCCTCCACTGGGACCCCTGCCCTGGGCCTCCCCATAATCCAGTATTCACAGGGGTGCCTGACCCTGAGGGGCACTCCCATGACCCTGCAACAGTGCTGCAGCCTGAGCCTGTTTGGATTAGTCAGCGTCTGTGCCATATCTGCTGTGAACTACTCAGAAAATCACAGGGAGTATTAGCTACTGATGCTTCCTCTCTGTGAATTGCCTATTTATGACTTGTTCCCGTCTTTGTATGGGGTGTCAAAGGCTCACTCTCAAATCACCCAGAAGGATGCTGTTTCAGGTTTCTGGATCTTGTTAAAGGTGGGTGTGGAGTGGGGAGGGAGGGGAAGTGAGGGCTGGGGAGGAAGGTCCCTAGGCTTGCATCCTACGAGAATCAGCAGGTCTTCTGGCTACAGACCAAGCAGATTCAAGGCCTAGAAGGTTGGACTGAGGATACTGGGTTCCTCAGGCGCAGGAGAGCTGGAGCCTGCTCCTGGGGAGGCTGGGAGCCTGGGCAATCAGTGCAATTCCTCAGAATTGCTCCTGCACACCTCCTGTGCAATGTTCCTGGCATGTGGGGAGGTGCCCTGCACTGCCTCCACCCAGGCCCAAGACACCTGCCTCCATTACTCTAGCAGGGTCCCACTAGCCTCTCTGCCAGCTCCAGGATCTCTCACAAATGCCCTTATTTACACTGAATCACCAGTAGCCGTCATTTCTAAAATCCAAATCTGAACACATCCCTTGAATTTTTAAAGCCTTTCAAAACTTCTCCTTTATCTATAGCATAAGATCCCTTGGCCCAGCACACAAGATCCTCCCTAATCTGGCTCCAAAACTCTCATCCCTGCCCCATCTCCTGTGCCCCACCCATCTCTCTCTGCCTCTCCATCTGCAAATAGCTCTAGTGCTCTGCACCCTGTGCCTTTGCTAATAGGCTTCCTTCTGCCTTGAATGCCTCCCCATCCTTCCCTCCTGGACAGTTCTGGCTCTTGGGTCCACGTCACCTTCTCTGTGAGGTTTCCCTGACTCCTAGTGGTCAAAATGAGTGGCCTTCTCCACAGGGCTTTCCCATGGTGTGAGTCCTGCGATCAAAGTTAAATAATTAACCAGGTGAAGAAAAAGAAGAACAAAGAAGTGTATTCTGGGAAGAGGGAACAGCAAGAGCAAAACCTGGGGTAGGAGAGAACATGGAAGATTTGTGCCCCAGCAGGTGGTAGCTCAGCAGGGCTGAATGGTAAAGTGTGTGAGTCGTGGATGTGTTAGGGGACCAGGTAGGAGCAGCCAGAAATGAAATCCAAGAGAGGCAGAAGCCGTGTGGTGGAAGTGTGACTTCCCTGCTGGTGATGGGGCGCCACAGAGTGAGTTATACAGGAAGAAGCCTGGCCAGCTTGTGACTGGGTTCATGTGCCTCCTATAGGGCTGGCCCTGCTCAGCAGATTACATAGCTGGAGCTTTTCCCAGAATCCTCCGACACGATGAGCTCCCACTGACACTGGGCACAGGCACTGGCCTTCCTCAGCTCCTGGAAACTTGCTGCTTTGTGAGTAGTTTTATTCCAAGAGTCCCGAGACTTCTGGTCCAAGGATAGCTGAACGCAGGTAAACTCTGGACTCACTCCTGAGGCTTCGGCTCCTATTAAAGTTGCCCCCTCGTCTTAGTGGGATATTTCTGAGAGGCAGCCAGTGGACCTGGAGACGCTCCAGCTTCACTGTTGGCTTCACTGTGGCTGGAGGGCTCCATGCCATTTGTGTTTTTGACCAGATGGACTGTTTGCTTCAAACAGCTTCCAGAACTCAGGCTCCAACCAAGAGGACGTGGCTGCCATTAGGATGGAAGTAAAGGACAGTGCCCCAGCCTGAGCCCAAAGACCCCCCCGCCCCGGGGAAGAGCTTGTGCTGTGGGGGCCCCACAGAAGCCTGTGTTTTCATTACGAAGCAACTTTAGGAGGAGTGGGTTTGGGGGGAAAAAGACGGTGGGGTAATAAGTCTGCAATAATGGATGCCATGTGGAGGGAAGGCAGAGTTACCCAGTGAAGGAATAGAAAACATGGTTTATATTTTCAACAGTTGGAGAAAGAAATGAAAACTGAATATTTGCTGCACCTGTGAAAACATATTTGATCATGACGGCAAGCCCAGCATTCTTAGTGTGGGATTCATATTTCATAACTCGTGTTCAAACAAGAAAAATGATTATAATGTTAAGTATTTCCTGAGTTTATTTTGATGGATGACAGAATAAGTACTGTATCTTTCACTCATTAAAATACAGATTGGTGTAATTTAATAAATGAACTTAATACACAGATGTTCCAGGCTGTTTTAGCAGGGTGTATATTAATCAACTTCTTTATATATGATCCTCTTTTATATTTTTGAAGAAACTTGCAGGAGCCAAGAATTTATTAGATTTGCATGCTGTAGGACGAGTATCAGATATCAGGTACATGCAGGAGTGTATTAAGATGAAACAGAGCCAGATCCACTGAGCAGCCCGGCCCCCACAAGGGTTGTCCCTGGGCTCCTGGCTGGCTCTCTGCGTTGTCTCAAAGAGGTCTCGGTTCCCTGCTGAACTCGCCTGCTGCCACTGCCTCGGGGCCACTCAGAGGTGCCTCTGAAGACCTGGGTGGGAATGGTGGCCTTGTATACTTTGGTGGCCCAGGTTGGGCAGTGGCCCTGTCATGGGTAGAAGCCTGCAGCCCAGCAGGGGCCTCAACGGCCCTTCTCAGGTTTTCTGGCCTCTCCCGAAAGCCTCTCATCCCAATGTTGCTGTCCCTTTTCTCATTCCCTCTCGGCAGCACATTCAGGGCTGATGCTTTGTTCAGTCTGAGCTTGTTTGGCAGGAGGGAAGCTTGTCTTGCTAACGAGAATACAAACTCCTGAAGGTAGGGGCTGTGCCTTCCTCATCTCCCACAGTCCCTGCTCCATGAATGTGGCTGATTTGTCCCCTGTCCTGAATCCATCAGAGAGCCAAGCCCAGTCTCCTGCTGGACCTGGCTTTGGAAGGGGAAACAGAGAGCTCGGCTTGGGCATCCTGGAGGGTTCTGGCTAGGAGTGGTCGGCAGGGTGAGGACGTTGTGCTAACTTAGCTCTCTGGCTGCGGACTGGCCCTGTGGAGAAGAAAGAAAGCACCAGAATGAGAACTTGACTTCAGCCACCCTCTCCTCTCCTTTGCAGATCCCGTTGAAAAGCGATATGGGGTCCTAGGAAAGTCTGTCTCTGGCTGGCAGTGGTTGTGTGGAGGGCTGGGGGAATGTCTTAGGCCAGATAACACATTTCTTGCAGCTGCTGTGTCCATGCAGAGCACACAGTTTTCTCTCAGAGCACCTTGCACACTCCTCGTAGTTCCAAAACTGCAGTTATCCTACCCGATGCACGCACTGGATAGGGACCCCTCCCAGGCCATCTCACCCATTTCTGCACCTCACTCCTTATTAGTGTTTGACCCAGGCCCCCACGCCCTCCTATCGTCGCCTGGGTAGATAATGCAGGTTGGCTGGTACGGCTTTTGTGAGATGAGCTGCAGCCCAGAACACAGACGCTGGCATCTCTCTGCCCCCTCCAAGGATGGGTGACCCCCAGCAGCTGCTGCTTGAGCTGCCCCTTTTTCCCTGCAGCCCCCTGCACACCTCGGTGGCTCATCAATCACATGGGCAGGTCCTGCGGGTGGGTAGTGGCTCTGCTGTCACATGCCTGTTTGCAATAAGCTCCGGTCATAATCATTAATCATTCATTGAGGCTGTGGTTAGCGGCTCTTAGTCAAGGGGATGCTTTCAGGTTTTCCAGGCTAAGTGCCCCTCCAGCAAGCATCCTCCTCAGCCCTTTCATGTCCAGTCATGTGATGTTCTGGGCACACTGAGCTGGCCACCAAGGCCGGGCTTTGTTCTGTAGGGTTGCTCTGAATGTTTCCCTCAGTGCGGGTGGAAGAGTTCTGCGCCCCAGCTCCAGTTCAATTGGGTTCAACAAACATTCAAATATTTCCTGAGCACCTCCTAGATGCTAGGACCTCTGCCATTGGGAAAGGAAATGTCCTGAAATTGCAGAAAGGAGAGTTAGAGCACGCTATACGCAGGGCTATGCCCAGCTCAGCGAGGGTCTTGCCTGGCTTCAAGGATAGGGATTCCAGTGTCTGAAGCTATAAGAGTTAGGGCAGGGGCTGAGAGTCTGAGTGCAGAGCTTGTTGGCCTGTTAACTGGATTGTGAAGATGGCCTGAAGATGTTACTGAGGCTGAGGCCGCAGACTCTATTTCAGTATCTTTCCTCAAGAATTTTTCTTGCCAAGACAACACATTCACTCTGTGATCATCCAATCATCCAGTCATCCACTGAGGCTTTACTTTGATCTACTATTAGAACTCTGGGTCTTCAAAGGCAAGAGATCTCATCTGGTTGAGGGAATCAGGTGTGGAAGGCTATGGATAAGAGGTGGGATTTGGCTGGGCTGGGACCTCAGCAAAGACTTCCCTAGGCAGAAGTGGGCAAGGGAAGGCTCTCCAGGTGGACAGGGCAGTGGGAACAAAGGCATAGAGGACAGTCTGAGTCACTGGTGGCCAGGGTCTTTGTGCCAGGGCAGTGGAAAGTGAGGGTGGGAGACCAGGGCAGTGTGGAGGCCCAGAATATTGGGTTGAGTCTCTAGCACTGAGGACCCCGGCTGTCACCACCCTGCCTGGCTGGTCCCTGTGTTCTCATCCACACCTCTCATCCCTGCCACATAAGATGGTTTGTGTGTGTGTGTGTGTGTGTGTGTGTGTGTGTGTGTGTGTGTGTGCCAGCTGAACAGCCATTCTCCTAAAACCTTTCTGTTTTTCTCACATTGTTTCCACCACCTGGAAAAATTTTTCTCTTTCCCTCTTGGAGAATTTCTACTCATCCTTCAAGATCGAGCTCAGATGCCACCATCCTTGCAGTCTTCCCTGACTGCCAGGGTCTGACAAATGGCCCTCCCTCTGGACTTCACACTGGGGAGTGTGCGATGCTTTTTACCACCCACCTGGAGCTTACTTTTGGTGGGGAGTATGGGTAGTGATGAACTAAGATCTGCCTCTGCCACCCAATGCCTGTGTAACCTCCTCCATCACTTCTCCTGTAAGAGGCAAACAATATTGCAAAGAATTTTGAGTAGCGATAATAGAATTTTTAAAATGGCATGTGTAATATGCCCACTATGAAGCCTGGCATGGAAGAGATGCTCAGACAAGGTTAGGCTGCCTCCCTTCCTGAGCACATTTTTCCATGTATCACTGTGCACATTGACAGGTAAGTCTCTGCCACTAGGCTGGGTGAGCCATCGAGGGAGCCTTCTGGCACCTTCTGCATCTAGCACAGTAACCGACTGGCTCGGGGCACAGGCTCACACCAGGGCCACCTTGAACCCCTTCACAAGGAGAAGGGGCAGTGCTGAGAAGGGCAAGCTGTAGCTGTGGGGACCAAGTTTGTTTGTTTGTTTTTCTTACGAATGTTCTGATTAAGCTAGAAACTTCCTGAAGTCATACAATTCTTCTATCCCCAGAGAAAGATTTGAATAAAGTATCCTCTTGTGGGAAGGAAAATAGGAGGTAATTAGTTCAGTGGTTTTCAGACTTCGTAAAGGACTGGAACCACTTTTTCAAATGAAATTTAATATGGAATCTTTAAGCTACAAAAACAGACAGAGCATTATTTTATGAAGATATGCATATTTATTTATTATTTTTTATATTAATTGACTAATAATAAATTGATTTATCATGTCGACAAATATATTTATTTTATTATCTCAAACTTATGACAAATAGAAAAGCACAATGAAGCTGTTTTAATCAGCACCAAAATTAGAAATTGGGCATTTATGGGGATCCGTGTCTTAGTTCAGTTTCAGAATCCAATTTACCTCCATATTTTATTTTGTTTTCACAGCTTGGAGAAAATCCTACTTTTCAGTGCTGAGTAGATGCAAATGATTATTGTTCTGTGACAATCTGTCTTGTGACCTCAGAGCCCTACAATTAATCAGACAAGTGGCAGGAGGAGCTCTGTGATGAGATTTCAAAAAAAAAATGAGTTCATGTGGTCACACAGTGTTTTAGTTGTTCATCTGCACGGTGTTAGGACTGGCTATCTTATCGATTGTATTAAATCACAGTGTTATCAATGACAAAAAAATTTTTTTGTATATTAAGTTTTGAAATGAAACATTTCTGAAATCCATAAAGTAACTTCATGGGTCTTTGGGATCCAAAGCACATGATATGAAAACACTGAATGAGTCTACCCCTGTACACTACAGATGAGTAAACTGAGGCCTGGAATGTGACAAGGACATATCCAGGCCCCACAGAGAATTGTTGGTGGGCTGGGATGAGAATTTAGGCCTTCTGCATCCCACCCAGGCCTCCTTCAACTGTATTCTCTATCTCTTTTTCCTAATTTATGCTAGTAAAAAAGTGTTTCATTATTTTTAAAAATAAGTTAGACATTCCATCTCTGTAGTTTGGTTTATAGCTGAGGCCTTCTTACATTCCAGCATGGAGTGTGAAACAGGCTGCTTACTGGAGTCCATTGTACAACCCGGAAACCTCCATCAGTGTCTTTCCATCTCACCAGGAGAATTCTGCCCTGGTGATACATAATTGAAATGGATTTGGCCAGCAGGGCCTATATAAAATGATGATTTTATGTTTGTTCATCTGTCAGAAAAGTAGAAAGCAAAGCTGGTAATTTGTGTTAACTAAGCACCTTCATTATAAGAACTCAAGGGAAAGGGTGGGGAACAGAACATTTTTTCATCCAGCTGTCCCGGATCCTGAGGATGATTTGTGTCGTTAAGAAGAAATTCTAATGATGTTGAGCGTATGGAAAAGTTTAAGCCGAACACGACGGGTCATTTTCTAAGTGTTTAACTTGAATATCAAGAGCTGTGCAGCTTCCTTTCTCAAACTCCTGCTTTTCCTGGCTGGGCCATCTCATATTGTGCCTACTGCAGGCTGCAGAAGTGGCCTCCATGAATTCTCAGCCCACAGATGGCATCTACCCAGTGAGCCACGACCTGCGATGGAATGTCACAGAGGGGCCCACCCTGCCCACTTTTCACCTAAGGAGGCAAGAAGAGGCCTTGCTCTTGGGTGTGTTGGATGCTCACTCATGGCTGCTGCAGTCTTCTCTTCACCCTCTCCCTCCTGACTGCAGATTCTATCTGGCGAGTGCTCAGCACCCAATTCCAGACAACACTTTAAGGGTGACCCCTCTTGCATTAAGGCAGCCCTTTCTGGGATTGTTCTTACATGTAGGGAGAATAGACTAATGGTCCCCAGCAGACTCCTCCATCCCCAGACATTCTTCCTCCACTTGATCTTCCTATGAACCTGGAAATCCCTTCTCAGAAGACAACCTTTCCTAACCTGGATAGAATTCAGGGTAAGAATGAATACCCCAGAAGATGGAGACTGACTGTCTTGTTGGGGTAAGTGGCTAGCATTGCTTTGTCTTTCAGAGCAGACATTTCTGCAGGGTACAGAAAGCATGAGGGCCCTGGAAGGCTGCAATTGTAGGATAGGACCCCTGAGAAGAGAGGAGAGGAAATGGGGGGAGTTCGAGGTGCTTGGATGGGCTGGGCTGTCTGACCTATTTTACCCTAGGAGAAAGAAAGTAAAGATAGAGTCCATCAGGTGGGACATTTTGAGGTGGGGCTGTCTCGTACCCCTTGGGAAAAGGAAAGCTCTTTGTCTGACCAGCCCTAACTGTTAAAGGTGATGAGTGATTCTTCAACTTGCAACAGAGATTCTCTCTTTGTAAAAGGGTTGAGGGCTGAGTTTTCTTATAGAATAAATTTCAAATAGGATTTGATTCACCTACACAGAAAGTGATTTACCCTCATACCTTCAAGAACACATCTGTTATGCAAAGCGAAATTGTAATTGGGCTTCAAAAGTAATCAAACAAAAATAAGGAGTTTTTTTTTCCTGTTAGAGAATAAGGTGTCCCTGCCATACAAATAATGTTTGCTAATTCTGAAGGGTGTTGCTGTAGAGAAAGGGGAGAGAGAGAGAGACATGTATGTTTGTTGGTCTTCAACTTGAGGCACTCTATGTGGCCTTGAGTTTCAGGTGGTCTACTATGGCTAAAACTACAATGTGGAGTGACATACTGTAACTAAACTTGGAGGAAAACCGTATCCTTTGAGACCAGCACGTGCATCAGCACAGCTGCTCCTGACTGCAGCTGCAGAAGATAGACCCTCCCCCACATCCCCACAATTTCCTTGGCTAATTAGGAACATCTTCCCTGGATGGCCACCTCTCTCAGGAATTTGGACACAAGGGCACAGCTGAATGCCTCTGCCTTTACTGAATTCAGAATCTTATTTCTGAGGAAGTTGTACACTGAAGCGTTAAAGGCAGACCTGACAAAATAAGGATCAAAATGTTGCCCATGAGTTTTTTTTTAATTGCTCTTTCCTTTGGAGCCTTGGTTGACCTTTATGTGTGAGGGGGTAGAAGTGTCCCCAGGAAATCTTAAAAACCTCAGAGGAAGCTGTTGACAGACTTCCAGAGAACTGGGTTTTTGTTTGTGTTCTGCAGGCAGAGAATAGCAGATGGACTTTGACGTACTCCAGACATATAAGCATAATCCTAAAAACGTAGGTTTCCTACTTTTAGGCAATGTTTCCTCTTTGGCAGCATTACAACCCTGGGATAAAGAGTTTCATGGCACTATGGTGGGGTCCTGGTTCGATGGCAGTTTTTGAAACATTATAAAGAGCAGTCACCTGGAGGCAGAAGCTCTGTTTGTCAGGCAAGTCACCCAAGTGTCATCCATGGTTTTCTCATTTGTAAGTTGGGATAATGAAAAAGCTCTACATACACCCCTGAGCTGTTGTGAAGATTGGATGGGCTGCTGGAGAAACGTGAAACGCTTCGTAATCAAATAGAAGGCTGCAATTGCAGGAGCAGGGTAGGGTGGAGGGGATGCAGCCATGCAGGGTGAGATCTGAGGGAAGAGAGAAGAGGAGTAGAGGAACACATGAATTAATTCGAGAGAGAGACATTTTCTCAGTCTCCACAGAGATACACGATCTTCACTTGGAGACCTGAGCCCTGCTTCTATTCCATCTCAGAGGATTCTAGTCCAATAGGAATAAAAGGTCACTGCTGAGATGACCTAGTGTATTAATCTCCTTAGAATTCTCTGAGCACATGACCAGAGGAAACATCCAAAAATGGGTAAGGCCCTGCTGCATTGACCCAGAGGTCAGCTGAAGCCTCCACATCCCTGAAATTCCTGCTGTCCAGTTTATTCTGTGGTGCTGGAGCAGCGGTTGCTGGTGCATCCACAGTGAGAGCAGCAGAAGTGGGACCTACTATATGGAGCACAGAAAGGGAAAGATGGGTAACATTGAAGGTGGCTAGTCTTTCCATAGGCACTTACCCTGAAATGAAATCATAAAAGCTGATGACTCCTGGGCAGCCTGGGCCCAGAATCCTAGTCTTTAGTGTTAAACTGGCTTAGCCAGGACTGAGGATCATAACCACCAGCCACTCGTGGACCACTTAAACAGAGGCTGTGGAGCCTCCAAAACCCAAGGTGGGACCATTAGTATTTTGGAGATCCCTAAAATCACTGAGCTGAGTATCTGGTTAATGGAGGTGCTCAGCCTCAGTCCTTTTCTTTTTCCCATCCCCCACCACTCCAGGAAGAATCCAGGATTCTGGTCCAGTCAGCTCCCCGACAGAGGTCAGAGCTGGAGCTCTCCAAGGTGCTGATGGCCAGGCCAACTCCCCCAGAGGGCACATTACAAGGCAATTATGCCTTGAAGCCCACCCAGGCTACCTGGGGACCTTTCTTTGTCTCCCTTCTTGTGACAAAGAGGACACTCTGATAGGCTTGAGTGAAAGAAGAGGCTGTTTAGGCATTACGGGTTGGTATAAGAAGACTGACCAAAGCTTCTGAGCAGACCTGAGAATGTAAGGATCATGCCCCGAAATGATGCCTGGAGGAGCCTGGCTTGGGAAAAGCCTTGGAAGTAGCTACCCTATGGCCAGCTATGTCCACAGAGGAACATTCTCATCACCTGCGAGAAGTAGAAAAATGATGCTTCTGGCAAGACTCTAAACCCAGGCAGAGGGTGGTGGGTACTTAGGGCATCCTCTCGATAGACTATAGACATGACCAGTGAAACCAGCTGGAGGTTGTTTGAGCAGTTCAAGCCAGAGACGAGCACTGAATTAGGGACAGTGACCTTATCACTTGGAGAATCCTAAGAACCCATTCTAGCAGGTCTTAATGATCATGGGATGTGGCAGTGGGAGGGAGAGAGAGAAGTGATCTTTTACCCTCAAGTTAATGGCTTAGGAAACTGGACAGATGATAATACCGTTCAGCAGGAGAAGTAGCATGTTTGGGAGCGGAATGATAAATGCAATTTACAACTGTTGAGTGTGAGGTGCCAGTGGTACTTCCAGATGGATTGTCCAATAGGAGTTGAGTATTCAGTTATGGAGCTCAGCAGAGAGGCCTGGGCTAGTGTTATATACTTGGGAATCATCAGCAAAGAGGATATGGTTTAAGTGATAGGAGAGAGATCAAGCAGGTAAAATGTGTTGAGTGAAAGGAGATGAGGGTGGAGAACAGGATTGTGATGGGATGTCTCTATTTGCTGGGTGTCGTGAGGTTCTCAGACTGTCACAGGGCTGTCATCATCTGCTCACTGACCACTTTGCCAACCTCACACCATTCCAATCATTTCCTTTTCACTCTCCTCTGGCCACAGAGACCTTTCTTTCCGAACACATCAAGCTCGTTCCTACCTCAGGGCCTTTGCATTTGTTATTTCCTCTGCCAGGAAAGCTTTTACTGCACTGCTTCCCGTAGCTGGGTCTTTCTCATTATTCATGTATCAGCTCAAATAAAACCTCCCTGAAAAACTTATTTATGTAGTATTCATGCTTCTAAGTCCCTCTCTACCTCAGCAAACCTGCTTTATTTACTCTGTAGCACCTATTATTATTGAAAGATTATATTCTATAATTGTGTACTTCTTACCATCAGTTTTCCCCAACAAAGGTATAAGCCTCCAGAGGGTAAGGATCTCATTTATCTTATTTACTATTACATCCTCACTTTCTTGAACAGTGCCTGCTACATCATAGCTACTTAATAAATAGTTGTTGAATGAATGAAAGAATTGTATTATAGGGGAAATTAAAACCAGAGAACTGTGAGATTCAGTTCAATAAATACTTATAGAGCACCTATTCTGTGTCATGAATTGGAGTACATGACAGAGGCACAAATAAATAAACATGATCTCTATAACTTTGGAATTTATAATCCCAAGGGGGAGATAGAAATATGAATACATACTTTGGAAAAGAGACATTCTACTAGAGAAATAAATGCCAGAAGCTATCAGAATTTAGAAAAGAGGTACTTTGTAGAACCTGGAGGTCATGGAAGGCTTCCTGTAGGAAGCTGAGCCTTGGGTGAAGAGCCAGAGTTAGCCAGGTGGACAGGTATGAAGGGGTAATAAAGAAAAATCAAGTGAGGGAAGTTACAGAGAAGATGAAAAGATGATGAGTCAAGAGTACTGTGATATCTTTGAAAAGGAGGAGGGGGCCATTTTCCTTGGAGATTAAAGAGAGGAAGATTAAAAGGAAGGTAAATATTGATACATTTGTAGGTATGTATGAAGAGGAAAATGTTGGTGTGGTTCTCTCCTGGTAGTCAGGATTCTGTGGGCATGAAAGTCACCTCAACACCCATTTGTCCATGAATTCCAGGGCCAGTCAGAGGAACTCAGATTTGGGCTCAACAGAACAAAGAACATCCATAGTATATTAGTCCATTCTCGTGCTGATATGAAGGAATACCCAGGACTGGGTAATTCATAAAGAAAAGAGGTTTAATTGACTCACAGTTTTGCATGGCTTGGGAGGCTTCAGGAAACTTACAATCATGGTTGAAGGCACCTCTTCATAGGGTGGCAGGAGAGAGAGAGCGCCAGCAGAGGAAATGCCAGACACTTATAAAACCACCAGACCTCATGCGAATGCACTCATTATCATAAGAACAGCGTGGGGGAACCACCCCTATGATTTAATTACCACCCACCAGGTCTCTCTCTCTCAACACATGGGTATTATGGGAATTACAATTCAAGATGAGATTTGGGTGGGGACACAGCCAAACCATATCATTCCACCTCTGGCCCCTCCCAAATCTCATGTCCTCACATTTCAAAACACAGTCATGCCTTCTCAACATTCTCCCAAAGTCTTAACTCATTCCAGCATTAACCCAAAAGTCAAAGTCCAAAGTTTCATCTGAGACAAAGCAAGTCCCTTCTGCCTATGAGCCTGTAAAATCAAAGCAAGTTAGTTATTTCCTAGATACCATGGGGGTACAGAAATTGGGTAAATACATCCATTCCAAATGGAAGAAATTGGCTAAAATGAAGGGGCTGCAGACCCCATGTAAGTCTGAAATCCAATAGGGCAGTCATTAAACCTTAAAGTTCCAAAATGATCTCCTTTGATTCCATGTCTCACATAATACAAGTCTCACATGATGCAAGAGGATGGTTCCCATGGCTTTGGGTGGCTCCACTCCTGTGGCTTTGCAGGATACAGCCCCCCTCCTGGCTGCTCTCAAGGCTGGCATTTGGTGTCTGCGGCTTTTCTAGGCATACAGTGCAAGCTGTCAGTGGATCTACCATTCTGGGGTCTGGAGGTTGGTGGTCCTCTTCTCACAGCTCCACTAGGCAGTACCCCTGAGGGGACTCTGTCTGGGGGCTCCAACCCCACATTTTCCTTTTGCTCTGCCGTAGCAGAGGTTCTCCATGAGGGCTACACCCCTGCAGCAGATTTCTGCCTGGACATCCAGACATTTACATACAGCCTCTGAAATCTAGGCAGAGATTCCCCAACCTCAATTTTTGTCTTCTGTGCATCTGCAGGACCAACACCAAGTGGAAGCTGCCGAGGCTTGGGGCTTGCAGCCTCTAAAGCAATGGCCTGAGCTGTACCTTGGCCCCTTTTAGCCATGGCTGTAGCATCTGGGACACAGGGCACCAAGTCTCGAGGTTGCACACAGTTGGGCCCCTGGACCTGGCCCAGGAAACCATTTTTCCCTCCTAGGCCTCTGGGCCTGTGATGGGAGGTGCTGCCGTGAAGATCTCTGACATGCCCTGGAGATGTTTTCCCAATTTTCTTGGTGATTAGCATTTGGCTCCTCATTACTTATGCAAATTTCTGTGGCAGGCTTGAATTTCTCCCCAGAAAATGGATTTTTCTTTTCTACTGCATTCTCAGACTCCAAATTTTCTAAACTTTTATGCTCTGTCACCTCTTGAATCCTTGCTGCTTAGAAATTTCTCCCACCAGATACCCTAAATGATCTGTCTCAAGTTCAAATTTCTACAGATCTCTAGGGAAGGGGCAAAATGCCACCAGTCTCTTTGCTAAAGCATAGCAAGAATAATCTTTACTCCAGTTTCCAACAAGTTTCTCATCTCCATCTGAGACCACCTCAGCCTGAACTTCATTGTCCATATCACTATCAACATTTTGGTAAAAGCCATTCAACAAGTATCTAGGAAGTTCCTAACTTTCCTACATTTTCCTATCTTCTGAGCCCTCCAAACTGTTCCAACCTCTGCCTGTTACCCAGTTCCAAAGTTGCTTTCACATTTTTGGGTACCCTTATATCAGTGCCCCACTCCTGGTATCAATTTACTGTTTTAGTTTGTTCTCATGCTGCTATGAAGAAATATCTGAGCCTGGGTAATTTGTAAAGAAAAGAGGTTTAATTGACTCACAGTTCTGCATGGCTGGTGAGGCCTCAGGAAACTGACAATCATGGTGGAGGGCACCTTTTCACAGGGTGGCAGGAAAGAGAAAGTGCCAGCAGGGGAAATGCCGGATGCTTATAAAACCATCAGATCTCATGAGAACTCACTTGCTATCGCAAGAACAGCATGTGGGAAACCACCTCCACGATTCAATTACTTCCCAGAGGGTCCCTCCCACAACATTTGGGGATTATGGGGATTACAAATCAAGACTAAATTTGGGTGGGGGCACAGGCAAAGCATATCACATGATAAGAGCTGCCCCAAAATGGAAAGTGCTGCCTCTGGAGTCAGTGAGCTCCTCATCCCTTGCTGTGTCTGAGCAGGACCATTGCAGGACTTGGACTTTGGATTGGGCATTGTAGTCTACTGCCTTTTGGTCCTTCCTCCACATTATGGAGGGTAATTTGCTTTACTCAAAGTCTATTGATTTAAATGTTTGCTTTCTTTCAAAACAGGGTGTTGCTCTCTCACCCAGGTGGAGTGCAGTGGCATGATCTTGGCTTACTGTAACCTCTGCCTCCCAGGCTCAAGCAATCCTCCCACTTGAGCCTCCTGAATAGCTGGGACCACAGGTGTGTGCCACAATGTCTGGCTAGGTTTTGTATTTTTTGTAGAGACGGGGATCTTGCTATATTTCCCAGGGTGGTCTCCAACTCCTGAACTCAAGCAATCTACCCACCTCTGCCTTCCAAAGCGCTAGGATTATAGATGTGGGCCACTGTGCCTGGTCTACTGATTTACAAGTTAATCACATCTAAAAAAACCTTCATAATCACATCTAGACTAGAGTTTGACCAAATATCTGTATACTGTGGCCCAGCCAAGTTGACACATAAAATTAACCATCCACAGGTGGGACACCTGCTGTGAGCCTGTTCACACCCATGTCAGCTGGGGATAAATAACTTCCCAGGTTCTTTAAGGGCCAAGATGTCCCTCCTTCTCACTCTGCTCACCACAGACATGCACTCGGGGATGGAAGAACAGGGAATGTTGGTGCCCTTCTCAGGAATTTGCCCACATTCCTATCCAATCATATTTGCTCCTTCCAACCTGTTCCTTCCAGATTCTCCCATCCAAATCTCACTTCAAACTCCTTTCCCCTGACATTGCATTTTGGACACTCTTCATTCTCTCCCTGGGAATTCTCCTTCACATTTGATGCCAGTATGGAACACATTGCCCCTTTCAGCAGATAATGGATTCTTCAGCTCCCACACTGTCCTTCATAGGTATAGGAAAGTTATGATACAGAAAAATTCTCGTTTCCATTTTGAAGTTGGAAAATTTCCAATGGAAAGGAATTACGTTACTTGCCCCCAAAATCTTTCAAAGCAAGTCTCGTGCTGCCAACAGTGGGGTTTTCTGCATAGCCACACTGTTCCCCATCTGTGTCAGAATCCTCAGTGCATTTTTCAAGCTTAGTGCCCCAGACATCTCCAGCCTAATAAGAATAAGGTGCCCTGGGCTGGTTCCCAGCCAGGGAGGGAGTGAGCAGACACACATTCCTTTGAAGCCTGTTTCACATTCTGGAATGCTTTACTGGAAACCACACAATCTCAGGAGGGATTCATCACCTCGCGGTGCTGCCTTTGGACTAGGTCAGGACAGGGGCCCTGAACGGCTGAATGAGACAGTGTCTGCCCTGATTAGTGGCTTCCTGTGTGGTGGCTGCAGGAGTTATTCAAACCTAGCCTGGGCAGATCTGGCTGAAATTCAGAGTAAATTCCCCACCTTATCTCCTCTCTCCCCATCCCTCCTCTTTCCTCATCTCATAGTTAGATCCTACATATGCATGGCTAAGAGTTGCTCACAGAGGGTGAGGATTCGGTTTTTAGAAATCTGGACAGAAGCCTCAGGGCCAGAAGCACAAGCAGAGAAAATCATCTCTGGGCTTGGACTTGGAGACATTCTCCTGCCCAGCAACTGGAGACAGAGTTTGCACATTGAGGTGGAGGTGTCCCAGGCAGGCAGCTGTGGGGATAGTCATTGTGAGCTCTGGTTGTGAAGTCAAGTGCCTTGAGACCATGTGCTGATTCTGCAGTTCCCTTCCTGATGACCTCAGGCAAGTCACACAGTCAGAGAATAGTGATTGCCAGATGTCCCCATGGGAATCTTTCTACTTCTCCTACTTTAGAATTAGGGAACCTCCAGGACGCCACAGGACTGACTTAAGGTCTCAGAGTGAGGTGGCGTCAGAGGCAAAACTAAAAGTAAACTATCCCAACCTATATATTTCCCAATCATTGCCTCCATTCCTCCTTAATTTCTCTAGACTTCAGATTTTTTCCACTGCCAAATGAGGCCAGTAATATCTCCCTCTAAGGACCCCTGTAAAAATCAAATGCAATCATAAAAGTTCTAAAAAGGGGACAATGTTGGGTTCTCAGCAGCCTCTTGGAGCCTTAGTGGCACCTACTTACATGTCCTCACCTGGGAGCAGCTGTAGGTTGCTGTCCCATATTTGATCTGTGGGTGTGAATTGCAGGTTTGGGGATGCCAGGGTTGATGCCCAGCTGGTGCTCAGGATTATGTCTGTAACAGTTGTTAAAAACTGCAACACTTGCCACTCCAAACTCTCTGAGTGCCCTTCTGCCACTTTGGCCCCTCCCCCAGAAATTGTTGGACCTTCTCACAATCCAGAGATTAAAGGAGAAATATCTGAGATAGCAGGAGGTCTCTAAGGACCGTGCTCCAAGCCCATTGCCCCTCAGGATGGTCAGTGCCCCATCATATAATATATTTTGAATATCCCTGTTTTGGTTCTCTTTTTATGCAATAAACTGCCCTGAAACTTATTATTTATTATTTGTGATTATCTTTCAAAGGTCTGTGGGTTGGCCAGTCTCACCTGGCTGGCTCCCCATAGGGATCCCTTATGTGATTGCAGTCAGATGGTGATTGGAACTGCAGTTATCTGAAGGCTCAACTGAGCTGGACATCTGAGAGCTTGTTTATGCAGCTGGCTGTTTGTGGTGGCTGTCAGTGGGAGCTCAGTGGGGCTGTCAACTGGAACATCTATGCTTGGTCTCTCCAAGTAGCTTTGGCTTCTCACAGCAGGGTGCCTGATTTTCCAGAGAGAGAGAGCATCCCAAGAACCAGCATGCCAAAGGCAGGAAGCAGAACTGGTCCTCTGTTATTTCCACTGTGCTCTGCTTGTCAAAGTGGTCAAGAGCCCTCCTAGATTCAAGGGCGTGGGAGAGTGCCAAGGTCACATTGTAGAAGAGCATATCAAGAGGGAGATACTCATTTTTGGATAATCTGTCACTGCTGGAAAACCTCAGCAGACTGGAAATCAGGCTGTCGGAAGTCCCCTCCCTTTCCTTCCCAGGCAGGCCTTCATCAGTTAGGGTATGAGAGTCTCCTTCCTTCCCTGAAGCTCCCTACCCTTCCTTTTTACCTCTCTATTCAAGAAAAGAGCTGCCAGCAGTTTTTCACACTCTTAGACCAAAGGCCTCCACAGACACTTTGGCCAGATTTGCATCAACTACCACATGGCATACCATTTCCTGGCCAGAACAGAGGGTGACATGAAGCTCAGAGGTGTGAAGGAGACCAGCGTGGAATTTCTTTTCCTGTATGTATGTTGGGGAGAGGGGGAGTGTGGCAGGAGGCATTGCTGTCAGAGGTTTTTGGGCAAACTTTGGTCCCTGCCAGAGAAGTGGGTCTGAGATGATGATGAAATACAGTGTGTCATGAAATAGTTACCTGAAAGGACTTCACATTCCCTAAGCAAGTCAAAGCTCCATATCTTTGTAATTAAATACTCACTCCTACCTGCAGGTTCCTGCCCACCTAAGTTGCATTCTGAGAGGTGCCTAGCCAGCTCCTATTGCTGCTCAGAAAGGCTGTACCCTCACGTTCCATGAGCCAGCGCAGGGATTGGGGTCATCGTCAACCATCATTAATATCTATAGCTATTACACTGGCCTCATTCTCCCCTTCCAGTGTAAAGTATGGATGCATCTACAATCCATGTCCCTGCCATGCACTCCCTAGCACCTCTCCTTGTCGAACTCTTGCCAAGCTATCTTAGGGAAAATAATTTGCATGCCCTTCTGTTCAACGCAGGAAAAACGAAGTGACTTTTTCACTCTCTCCATTCAACCAACCCCCAGTGTGCTTTGTAACTGAGGGAAAATCTGTTATTCATAAAGAGAAACAAAGGATGATAAATTATATGACCTTGTAAAATATATTAACATGAATCCACACTTTCTTCTGGATAATTGAATTTAGGGTGACACCAGGCAGAATCTGCTGCTTCTGCAGGAATGCCAGTCTCCCTCTCTTGTTTTTCATTCTTTTAGTGTGATCTCACAAAGGTCTGGCTAAGTCCAAGGGCCTCCATTGTCTCCAGGCCAGTACATGTTATAATCTTGTCCACAATTTCATTGCTCAGTCTGAGTTAGGAGCTTCATTAAAATGATATGTCTTCCTCAGAGTTGTAAATGACAAGTGACCTTCTAACAAAATGTGGCCTCATTAGATGACAGGAAGAATTAAATGTCACGATGCAGGATGGCAAGGTTTTGGTATTTATGAAGGTCAAATCAAGGATGAGTAATATAACAGAGTATTCCGTTTAAAGTCAGACTAGTGTTCCTGGGAAACATTGCTGCTGCTGCTGCTCTTTGGTACTGTAAGAAATGGGTTTTCTGTAGGCTTTGCTTGTAGTGTAAGTTTGTGGGCTGTTTATGCTTTGCATGAAACAACCACCATATTTTAATTATAACTGGACGACTGGTTGGGGAAAACAAGCTGGAAAATGTCCAGAAATAACTCATTTCTGCCAATGGTTTTAATCTTCTACTCTAACCAATTATTCATTGGTGAATCGGCATTTTGCCAAAGAAGAGGCTTCAGGAGACAGGCTGCTTTGCTCCTCTGAGAATCCCAGTGATTTGGCTCTGTTGAACATCCTGTCTTTGCAGATCTTGTCTTTATCTTTTCAAGTAATAGAATGAGTCTGGTTTTTAAAGCTAAGCTCAGTGCAATTCACTGCATTGGGGCTACTCAGTGGAATGATGAAAGGATTTGGGGTTTACAGGAATTGGCATTCTGATTGACCTGATCCTAAGATCTGGAGGCTGTTGAAGCAAGAAGCAAGGTAGAATTGCAGAGATGAAGAATGCTGAGACTCACAGGGGTGGTCCATTTCAGGTGGAAGGAGTTTATCTTCTTAAGCCTCCATCTTCTTGGGGACCCAGGAACAGGACCGCCATATAGGATTGTGTAGGTTATACACAAGTGCACCCAGTCAAAGGGATGAGCTGTGGACAAGTTTTCGCCTGTGTTCCATTTGCTAAGCCCTGGGCCTAGGCTGCACCTACCCAGAGCTGGGCTTGGCAAACTGTGACCCATGAGTCAAATCAGGACCACCACCTGGTTTTGTAAATAAATAATATTTTGGAACTCAGGCCCATTTATTGATGTGTTGTCTATGGCAGCTTTTGTGCTACAGTGGCACAGCTGACTAGTTGTGAAAGAGACCTTATAGTCCCCAAGGTCTAAAGTATTTACTATCTGACCCTTAACAGAAAAAGTTTGCAGATAACTGATCTACAGGTAGGAGTATCTTTTTCTAATTTGCAAAAGGCATTCTCTTCCTGCCAATTCCTGCCAATTCAGAGTTGGATCTTAAAGATAGGGCTGCCTTTTTCTAATTTGTGCAAAGGTGCCTTATGGGTTAACAAGGCCTTAAGGAGGAGATCCCAGGCATGTCCCTGACAGGGTGGAAGCCTCGGGGGAGCCAGGGCAGCTTGCATGGCCTCACCTCAGCCCACCGCAGGCTATTGCTGGACTCTGGAGCTGGTTCCAGGCAGTAGAAGAGCCACAGGCCTATTGCTCAGAGAGGCTGTTCGGGGAGCCAGGGGCTGGTTTCGGCCACTCCCAGAGGTAAAACAAATGCTTTCCTTGTTCCTTTTCCAAATAACCTTAAAAGAGAAGGTTTGTTTTTGGATCTTTGTCGCTGGCCACTTCATAAAGAAATGCGAACTGTCTCGTGACTTATCATCAACCACTTGTTTACACAGCAGGGCTGATTGACACGGTTTATTTTTCTGCGGTTTTTCGTCTAATCTAAAGTGAAATGTGAACTAGTGAATTCATGGAGTTCCCTTCACCTTTTGCAACCCAGAACCTGCAAGGGAGGTGCTATTGGTCCTTACTGCTGCCCGGTGACTGTTTTCACATGTGTAAACATCATATGTCCTACTCAGATCTAGTTGCACCCACCTGAAAGGTCCGGCCAACTATACCCGAAAACTCCAGGATCCCTTGTCCTCCCCAGGGAATCAATGGACGAAACAGGACCATTGCCTGTAGAACATGCACCTGGAAAGGAACTCAGAGTTGTCCTGTGTTTTGGAAGCTCTGGGATCCCTCCTTGGGTTCAGATAGCAGTCAGCCCTAGTGAGGTATAGCAGCTTTCCCAGGGCCTCACAGAACTTGGTGGTACCTCCTCTGGTCAAACATCTGTGGGCAGGACTTGGAGTCCAGGCAGAGCTTTTTGGCAGGAAAGAGATTCCATGGTGGTCCAGATCACAGGGAGTAGGGGCCTGGTGGGAATAATGGTGTCTACACTTCAAGCATGCCCAACACATGTAACCTCACTGGGTACCCCCAACATCCTCTGAGGCTGACACCGCTTCCTCATATTCCATTAGTTGTTGTATATAGTTTACAGATAATTTCAAATATGTCTGTCTGGATGGAAGAGGATGATAAATCTAATGGTCTGTACATGTTAAAGGGACAATATAATGGGAAAAAAACAAGCAAAAAAAAAGAAACCTCCAGTCTCATTAATGCCATAACCTATTTTTAAAAAGTTGACTATGAGAAATCAGAACAGAAATGTGCTGGGTACAGACAAGGTCATGAGGACAGATCTAGGAGTCTGAGGTTTGGGGGAGCTTGAATCAGGGATGAGAAGGCTCTTCTTAGAAAATAGTGCCACAAGGGGCTGCATCACATGAGACAAAAGCCCAAAGCTGTTAGTTGCCCCTCCTTGGAGGAGACAGACATCAAGATGGGCAGCATCTGGACCCCACAAGGTATTTCCAGGCCACTTCCAAGGGCTGCAGCCACTCTCACCAGACCCCAAGAAGACAGGTTTGTCCTTTCCCTTCCTCCTGGTCTTGTGGCACCAGCCTGTTGTCCACAAGGTTGTGGGAGCCCTAGTACTTGGCCTGGGTGTGTTATGCAGAACATACACAGTACCAAGGTCTGTCTGGAGCCTGCTTTCTGCAGGACTTCATGCCATGTTGCCACCTTGCCTCCCATATCTTCACCCCTCCCCACTCCATACAAATCCACATTACTCATGGAGGCTCTTTATTGGCTACAGGAATCTTTTGTGGGAGGATGGTTGGCTTTTTTTCATTGGACATCTTCCTCATAACTGAGACACATCACCTAGCCTTGCTCAGCAAATGAACAAATTCCCCCAAAGTAAGTTGGGGGAGTGTCATTGATCTTAGGACACACTGAGCTGAGTGTGAGTGTGTGAGTGTGTGTGTGTGTGCATGCGACTTCCTCATGGGAAACTTGTTAGCCCTGTCTGCCTTCGCTGGGCAGACTTGCATGCAGAAAGCAGGATGAAATATTTCAGTTGAAGCGAGGCAGGGTTGAGGCCTGGGAGAGAGTGAGAACCCTCGCACCTCTCCCTGAAGCCATTTCTCATTCTCTGAGTCCCAGCTTTGGAAAAGGCTCTGATTTATTTGGGAATGTTTGTTGGGCTCCTGCCTTGCCTAGTGGCAGGGGAAGGATTTGATGGTCTGTAAAAACCTGTTCCTGCTCACCAGTTTGTGGTTCAGGGACAGGTAGAAGATAATAAAAGTTCCTTACATTCAAGTTATGAAATCTTTATCAGAAGAAACCAAATTCTGTCCTAAGTTGTCTGTCTCACGTCTATACCACCAATCAGAAGCAATTCTGGAAGGAAGACTTGTCCATGCAGGGCCAGCAGTTGATAAGGATCTTAATTTCTCCTCCTTACTTATGCATCTCTCTTCCTGTGAGTTGGATGAATCATCTGGCTTTGGTGGAGACCACTTAGACCAGGGCTCCATAGCACCAGAGCTGTAGTCTCTAGAGTCCAAGAGACAGGATTGAAGTTCTGTTCCTTTTTTTAAGGGATGGACCCAGTCCTTGGGTTGTATCAGCTAGAAGAAGGAGACTCTCAGGATTCATTTCACCTTAAAATCAAAGCCAAGAATTCCAAGGGTGCCATCCTGTACAGGGAGGGCCAGGTATGAACCTTGGTGCAGGGTGGGAAGGATCAAAACAGACTTCGGTCTTTTAGAGGGGATGGCACAGACTGGAGTCCTGTGTCATGGAGATTAACCTAGCCATGAAAAGCATGGATGTTTGCATGTTCCAAATCTTTTTCTGAGTCAGACGGTTTTACATAATGGATCCATGCTTTTCTCCCTCTGCAAATATGCTATGAACTGATGAGTAGAGTTTTCCCACTTTTCCACTTCCCAAGCACTGCCTCTTCATCTTCCCTCCTTTCTCAGGCTTTTTTCTTCTTCTGGAAGTCTTCCCTGTCCATCCCAAGCCCTCACTGGTGTGAGCTCTCACCTGTCTGAGTGCCCATCTTGGTGATGGGCATAGGAAATAGCCCAACTTTGCTCTCAGACTTTTCTTACTGAAGGCCTCCTCTCTCCTAAGCAACTGTCATCTGTAAGCTTGGTCAGTTTGGTGGAAACAAAGGACTTGGATCCAGGAGGTTACTCAGATAGGTGTGGGCCAACAGAAGTAAGGCTGTGTATAAATCAGAACACCTCTTCTGGAATGCAGCACTGACTTGACCTGCTTAATTCAAAAGTGTGGCACAAGCTAGGTCTCAGCTGCTTGACGGATGGGTTATTCCCAGTCTCCCAGGGTTATTCCCAGTCTCCCAGGGCCTTCTGTCTTGCCATGGGTATGACAGAAAGTTTTAGGTCCCAGGGCTACATCTTTGTTAACATCTTTAGTATTTTCAAGAGGTTATTTGTACCAACTGTTCAGCTTTTCCCCTAAATGACTGGACACCATGATCACACTTGCTTTTACCCCTGCTTTCCTGTGGCCTCTGGGATTTTAGGGGCTGACCAGAGTTTCCAGACACTCAGAGGGCTGTTGAGCACTGATGACTAGCTAGGAGCAAAGGGCTCACAGAGAATATGAGGCAATGGGGGCTGGAGCATTCGTCCTTCCAAAGACCACATACATTTAATATTTAATCCCCAAATTGTATTTTCTTATGCTATTGGACATCACCAAACATCTTTGAAAGCAAGAGCAAGATAAATATTAATCTCTTGCCATTTGTTATGAAGATTCTCCCCTTCTTTCTTTGGGTTCAAAATCTTCTGCTTTGGATAATGTCTGTGTAATTGAAGGACATCTGACTAATAAAAAAATATGTCCCCCTGGATCCCAGGATCATGAGTTTGAAATAGTCTTTGCCAAGAGTACATAACTGCTTAATGGCTGGCATGGGTGACAAGTGCTTAGTGGTCTTACTGACAGAGGAACCCATTAGTCCTAGGAAGATGAAAAAGATTTAATTTGGCAAATACTCATTTGGGTTCTCACTCAGAGGATAGGAAGGTACTGGGACATATTGCCTGGGGAAAGGATGATTTTGGGAGGACTAGCCATGGTCCTTGGATTTCTCATGGGGAAGAAGGAGAGGAAGCAGAATATGTGGCCCCAGAGGGCAGGGGTAGGACTGATAGGAGACTTGAAGAGAGGCTGATCTATTGCCAATAGAAAGTAGAACTTCCCAATAATCAAAGGGCAGTGATACACCCAGTCCTGGGGAAAGACAACAGAGGCTGGGGGAATATTCATCACTGATGTTTCAAAAGAGTTTTCCTATAAGGCAAGAGACCTAAAAAGCCAAATGTACAATAAAAACCTGCAATCTGTTGACTCTGAGTAAAATCACACACACACACACACACACACACACACACACACACCTTGTTTTAAACATTTTAATGGTATTGTTCATTTTTAGTGCAAAAATAATGAAGCAGGAGGATAGAGGAAAGAATGATACAAATTTAGAAATTTACAAGACATTTGATGATCATGTATCTTGTTAAAGAAGCAATGATTTTTCATCCAAGATTAGAGTAGTACTGGCAATCTTGGTCAGAACTTGATCCTCTTTCTCAGCTTAAAGGAGAAGAGCTTCTCTTGGAACAGAGTCAAGCCAGTCCTGATGGCTCCTGAAAGGAAGGGTTTACAAGCCAGGCCCCTCTGGGAGACCAGGAAAACTGGCTGAGGTCCCCTGTGTACCTGCCACCCACACATGCCTGCTCCAGACACGTATGATGGCAACCAGCAGAAGGGAGCCACCAAGTGCCTCATTGCATGGTAGACCTCAATGGCCATCTCATGTCCTCCATTGTCCCCACCCCACCCCCATCGTGTGTTTCTGCATCTCTTTGAGATAATGCTGGCTCCTGGGTTGCAGTCCCACCCTTTTGCTCCCGCTCAAAGGGCACGCTCAGGCAACCCAATAATAAAAACAACTCGAAGGGAGACCAGCTGTACTTATAAATAAACATCCCAAGCACATTAATCTGCTGAAGGTTTTTATGAGGGGAAGCATAAAATTTCAAATAAAGGTCTAATGGGAAATATGTCCAAAATGTTGGAATTAGTGATGCTCTACAGTAGGGAACTGCCCAGATAGATCCATAAAATAGAATGTAACTAACAACTGATTCAGTTTTAAGACCCCGGCCCTCTCACTCCCACACCTGAGTTGTATATTTTATCTGAAGGGCTGTTTCATGTTCCAGAATCGGCTCTGTTTGCAAGCGAGCTGTCAGAATTTTATGGCCTTGACTTTAAAGAGCAGGACATTTCTTTCCTGGAGAAGAAGGCTAATAGGAGGGAAAATGCAGGGATTACGGGCTCTCCCACAAATCCAGGCTAGCAGATGCTCCTCTTTCTATAATCAAAATGAATGTTTTCTTTGGACCTAGCTAGGAAGGCCCCTTTCAGATGTCCCTGGGACCAGGAGACATGTGCCAGGCCAGATTGTTTCCAACAGTTTGGAAACAGACTGTGAGGGAAGCAGGTGTCTAGCTCCGAGTACCTGTTCCTTCAGCCATTCAGGACAGATAATTTTTTTTTAAATGATAGGCGATTTTCTTTTTTTAAGTGCAAAATAGGAGACGGCATACGGTTAGCCTTGCTCCCTGTCCCGGCCTTCACCTCTGTTAACAATCTGCTTTCTTCCTTCTTCTGGGGTGATACTGAGCTCTGTTTGACATTCTTTTCTTCCTTAACTTCATGTCTCAATGCCCCACCACCGACCCCAAATAAGAGCCTTTGGAGCAGTGAAAAGGACTTGAACTGGGGAGTTAAAATGGGTTCAAATCCCTACTCTGCTGCTTACCAGCTCACCAAACAAGTCATTTGTCTTCCGTGTTCTCACTGGGAGAAAAGGGGGAAAGACGCCAACATCACAGGCTCATTGTTGGCATTCCATGAAGTGGCCCAGGTGGCAGCCGCTGCTCGGGCAGGGCCAGGCTGCTGAGGTTCATAGTCCTGGGTCTACCACTTAATCCTTGATCTCTGAACAGACACTGTCCCCTCCCTGAGCCTCAGTTTCCTCATCTATAGAATAAGAATAATAACCGCTCACAGGGTTGTTAAGAGGACGAAAGGAAATATGTACAGAAAGTGTCTGTGGAGTGCCTGCCTCACAGTAGGAGCTCAATGAAACTTTCCTCGCCTTGCTATTATTTTAGCAGAGATCAGGCTGTTTTGTAGTCTGACTCACCCAAGCACCATATGATCTAAAGCCCAATAAAGGCAAAGCCAAGCCCTCCATACCCACCTCACCTTGCTCATGATGAAACCCTTGTTTAATTCCAGGTCCAGTCCATCTCTAACCCTGGGCTTGTTTCTCACTTCCTGGTCAGCTCACATGCGCTGGGCTCTGCCTACCAGCGGGGTTCACCATGTTTGAGTGACTCAACACCATCTGAGGGTTTGGCTTGGATCCCCCAGGCTGTATCCGTCTCATACCTTAGACAGGGTCTTCCATGCCAGCTTCATCAACTTCACCGCAGATACCAGCTCTGATCTGCTCAGCTGCCCTCAGAGATGAAGGTGGGATCAACTTCAAGCCCTGGTGGGAAGAATAAGTGATTAAAGGTGGAGAGAGAGAAGTTCATCCTATATCTTTTCCCCCCAACTCCTATTCTGGGGTCCAAACACTACTTTCATCACCTGCTCTACTCACCGAGTCTGACATCAAGACAGAAGAAAACAAACAAACAAAACAAACACACTTGCTAACAGCCAAGGGAAGAACGACGGCACTGAAGCCAGCGCCAGTGATGTGACACTTATGATCCATTTCCAGGGCGCTGTCTTGGTGGATCACCTTCCACTGTGCTGACATCGACTCATCTTGGCCCCTTTGTCCACATTGCCTTCCTTGTGCTAGCTCCTATGGTTCTTCAGTGTCTTTTGATTTTGGGGCCACCATCTCCGGAGTGAGACTGAATTAGTGGGGAATGGATTCCACAGCCTAAACCTCTTTGTTCCTCTTGTATCTCCCATAACAGAGAAGAACCTTAATAAAGACCAAAGTGAGGAATCCCAGGCCATGAAGAGAGGTGCTCAGGCCAGCAGCCACAGTGGGGGCTCTCTGTCTCCTCCACTGCTAGACCTGTGAGTAAGGGAGCCTCCAGGATGTCTCTTGCTCCAGCCATTGCCTGACCAACTGCATGAGGGACCTCAATGAGAACCTGCTAGCTGAGCCCAGCCGACCCCTAGAAACATGAGGAATAATGATAACAAATGATCATCATTAAGTACTATCAGGCTGGGGTGGCTTGTTGAGCAGCAATAAATACCTGGATCACTGATCACTTAAACAGCTCTTTGGCTATTGGCATAGTCACCAAAGTCACAAGTCATGCCCCCTGGAGAAGCTTAAAGTGCCACTACCAGCTAGTGATGGGTGGTGGCTCCAGGTGGCAGCAGTACCCCTGTCTTGACTGTGCGCCAGGCCTCAGGACTGACAGGGACCTTGGGCTGTGGGATTCTTCTGGCTGGACCCCTGGCCTGGGGAGGCGTTGGCTGCCTGGCCCTTGTGGGGTGACCCACCCTTCCTTCTCCAGCAGAGCTGGGAAGACATCCAGGGCCAGCTGTGTGCTTTGGAAGGCTGCTCCTCGGTTCCTCAGCTCTCTCCCCATTGCAGGAGTATAGGATTAACCTCCAGTTTCACACCCTGGAACTCCAAGTACCATACAAGGTTCAGTATTTTTCAGGTGCAAGTTCTTTATTTGGCTTTTAGCGAACGAGTACAATAACAAGTTAGAAAATGCAGGTCCTCAGGGAGTGAATCTGAGAATCACAAGAGTAAAGGGGTTTCCAGTTACCCTCTGGCTTGTGCTCAAAGTCCTCACTCTCCCTGAAGAATGGGTGTGAAGGCTCAGGCTACGCAATGGTCTGGGAATGGAGACTTGGAAGAGAGGACTGAGGTTCTTCAGAATTACAATACATGCCCTCAGCCAGCAAGCAGGTGGTCATACAGAAAGGAAGGGAGAGGGGGCTGTAATGAGGCTGTGTGATAAGCATGGTATGCTCTTTCAAGATGCATTGTGCAGCAGCTGTTGGGCTGTGTGTATCTATCAGCCCTGCTATGGGCTGAATGTCTGTGTCTTCCCCAAATTCATATGTTGATGTCCTAATCCTCAATATTATGGCATTTGGTGGTGGGACCTTTGGGGAGTAATTAGGTTTAGATGAGGTCATAAGAATGGAGCCTCCATGATAGGATTAGCACCTTTATAAGAATAGGAAGAGAGCAGAGCATGCCTTCTCTCGGCCATGGGAGGATATAACACAAAGACAGCCACCTGCAAACCAGGAAGAGAGGCCTCATCACCTCACCATGCACTGAATCTGCCAGCACCTTGACCTTGGACTTCCCACTCTCCATAACTGCGATAAGTACATGTGTGCTGTTTAAGCCAGTGGTTCCCAAATTACCAGGGACAAGTTTTCCATGGACAGAGGGTGGAGGAATGGTTTTGGGATGATTCAAGTGCATTACATTTATTGTACGCTTTATTTCTATTATTATTGCATTGTAATATACAATGAAATAATTATACAACTCACCATAATGTAGCCTCAGTGGGAGCCGTGAGCTTGTTTTCCTGCAACTAGATGGTCCCATCTGGGGGTGATGGGAGACAGTGACAGGTCATTAGGCATTAGATTCTCATAAGGAGTATGCAACCTAGATCCCTTGCATGCACAGTTCACAATAGGGTTCATGCTTCTATGAATCTAATGTCACTGCTGATCTGACAGGAGGCGGAGCTCAGGTGGTAATGAGAGTGATGGGGAGTGGCTGTGAATACAGATGAAGCTTTGCTCACTCACCCACCGCTCACCTCCTGCTGTGCAGCTGGGTTTCTAACAGGCCACCGACTGGCACGGGTCCATGGCCCGGGGATTGGGGACCCCTAGTTTAAGCTACCCAGTTTATATATTTTGTTATAGCAGCCTGAGCTAAGAAAAGCCCTAAGACCCTATTTTTACTTTGTCTTATAGGCCTGGAGGAAGCTAAGTGATCATCTCCTCCAGCCTGCCCCTCTTACAGCTGACAATCCCTATGGCCTGGGGATGTGCCCAAGGTCAAACAGCTGGTAGGTGACAGAACTCTCTCCACAGTGTATGTGGACTGCATGGAAATACCTTAGTTCTTACATCAGAAAGTCATTGGCTTTCACTGGTCACCAAGTCCACCTACAAGAGAAAAGGAGAGAACAGAGAAAATTACCCAGCAAATCCACCAAGCAAATCCACCAAGCAAATCCCATAAAGGAAAGAGGGAATTTCTTGGTAGGATTTTGCTTTCTATAGAGATTGGAAAGCCCTGAGTGTGTGCTTGGGATTCCAGGCTACTTAGTAGAGACACAGCCAGAGACTTAAATAATCATGCCTTTATGCGACAGAGCTCAATTCCCTTGTAGCTTTTTAATTCACAAGAAACCTGATTTCAGCTCTGTAGACAGCCTACTTAAATTCAAGTTCTGACTCTGGTACTACTAGCTGTGTGACCTTTGGCAAGCTACTTAACATCTCTGTGTCTCCGTTTCCTCACTGATTATTCATTTATTCACCTGTAAAATGAATAACAGAAGTACTTACCTTATGAGATTGTCATGAGGATTTTATCTCACCCTCTCTCTTTCTCTTTCTATCTCTACCTGTCTTAGAGAACTGGTTATTAATTGCAGTGTTATTTGCCATTTTATCTATCTGAACTTTACTATTCATTGTAACCAGCATTGGAGAGCTTATAGCCTGCAGAGGGTTCACATGTTTTGTTTTACTTTGTCAGCATGGGGTTTAACACAAATCTGAATTTGAATGTGTTTTATGAGACACACACTCTCTGGTTTGCCATAGTTCCTTGACACTTATGTTACCAGCCAGGCTCTCTGTGGGCCCTTCTTTTGTAGGTTTGTAACTTCTGGTCTATTAGGGAGTTAAATTGGACCAAAGAGGACATAGCATTCATGGATGCAAGATCTCTGGTAAGGGAAGTGATGAGTAAAGTCAGTGAAGCTATTTTTGTTGTGCACCATGGTAGGAGTGAGGCCATATCTCTTCTTCTTCTGCTGCTGCTGCACCCAATGCCCATGGCGGAAATGACAGGAGCCAGAAGAGTCTGCAAGCAGTGGCTGCCTGGGTGCAGAAACACACGTGTGCACCCACATGCACACAGATGCTCCCTTGCCCACACAATGGCACCCCCAGCCCAGGGTGCTGCATGCTGCTGTGTGACTTCTTCAGTGCCCCCATCTGATCCCTTGGTGGTGATGGATATTCCTGCTCCCACATCGAGGTGTTCTCTCTTTTGGGCAGTCATCAACTCCAGGCGTGGAGCTCTGGGGCTGGAGCTTCCCGCTGATGAATGGCCCACCATGAGTAATTTCTCTTTGCTGTGGTTTCCTCTGAGGGTGATTTTTTCCAGATTCCAGTAGGATGGACAGGCTATTTCAACACTTGCCACAGTAGCTGGGAAGTGAACTGTCAGGAGGCAGTGGGCTTAAAGGCCCTTTGTCTTCATTGCTAGCTTTGAATTATATGCTCTGGGAAGCAGCATATACACTTCCCTTTCCTCAGACGTGTCTGTCTCTTCCATAAGAATTTCATAAAAGGCCTCACCTTTTAGTTTGCAAGCGTTGTCCTTGTTTCTAATCTTTATTTTTTGTTTTTTATTTTTTTGCACTTTTCTCTCCCATGTGCTTACTTTTGGCCCCTGGCTGCTCAAAACCCACCATCTTGATGGCCTGCGAGGCCTGCCCTCTTCCCCCAGGCCCCTCAGTTCCAAAAGCTTCTTCTCCAATCAACCTGCACTTCTTCCCTTCCTTGATGGCAACAGATCCCAGCTAGGCATCGGATAAAACTTTCACTAAGCAGAGAAGGACAGATAGCCTACTTTACTCATCCTAAGGGTCCTTGTTAGAGATTGATCAATAGAATGGATCCTAATTAGGGAGGTTTTTGGTGGCAGAACCAAGTCCAGTTGACCCTTGAACAGTGTGGGGAGTTAGGGGCACTGACTTCGGCACAGTAAAAAATCCGCACATAATTTCTGACTACCCTAAATCTTAACTGCCTACTGTTGACCAGAAACCTACCAATAACATAAACAGTCAATTAACACATATTTTGTGTGTTATATGTATTATATAATGTATTCTTACAATAAAGTAAGCTAGAGAAAAGAAAATGTTATTAAGCAAATCATAAGGAAGAGAAAATACACTTACAGTACTGTACTGTAGTTATTGATACTGTAATTGATGTCTCCTGTTTACAAGATGAATTGTCTATCTGAAAGGTGGACAACACAGCTGCAGAGCTCAAGCAATTCAACTTTTTCTTGTCATGTCGTGATTTGTCTCTGCTTCTTGGGAGTACTTCCAGCATCACCAGTGGCACTTTGTATGGGTCCCATGGTGTTATTCAAGGTTTATGGTATTGCAGTAACCATGATGAAAAATACATGAGAACCGGAAGAGATCACTTGTTATTGCAATATACAGTTTACTGGAGAGATAACCTTCCCATGTGGAGATGAATAGCATCACGTGGCATTTTAAGCAGATTCTTGCAACACTTGAGCTTACCTCAACAGCAACAGGGGGTGGCTGTGAAATTACAACAGTGGTACAATATGCACTATAGTTAATTTTATGCAGTTGTGATTCAGTACTGCATCTTTACATTTGTTTACATTTCTCTCCACTGCAAATGGTGTCATATATTGTCAGTAAGAGTTTGTGGGCATAAGTTTTGATAAATTTTAATTTTTTATAATAGATTTGTGTCTATTTTATGGTAGTAAATTATAAAAGAGACTTGTATCTACATATATTTTATGCATTCATGATATACCTAACTTTTTCTTAATTTTTTCAAGATTTCTAGGCTATGCGGTTTGTCTGGGCATTTTGTTCAAATTGTTGCAAATCTCCAAAAAATTTTCTAGTGCATTTGTTGAAAAAAATCATGCAGTTCAAACCCATGTTGTTTACGGGTGAACTGTGAAAGGAAGAAGTGTGGGCAGAATAGATGTGGGGTGGTGGGATGGAGGGGTTGGGTGGGCCTATAATCACAGCTGGTCTTGAGTTGCTGGAACACTTTCTAGAACCTTCTAAAACTCAAAGGCCACTCACACTGTGGCCAAACTTTGCTCATCTTCCCTCTGCACTTATGGCTCCTTTGGCCCAGCCTGGACTGGCTTCAGGAGAGGAAACTGGCTGTCCTTTGGAAGCTTCACTTTGGCTTGATTGTTGTGCCGCCAGGAAGACACAGTATCCTGAGGCAAACACCCTGGTTTCCTGGTCCTGCAGGACCATTCTCCCACTTCCCTCGCCCAGCTGGGGCAAGCCAGGTCTAGTGAGAGCAAAGATGTTCTCATTCAATTTGGGGGCCTGGCAGCCAGATTTAATCTAACTAGGCTGAGGGAGGGAGTTGGAGATGATCTTGGGCTTGCCTGGGATGAGTTTTAATTCTACCCTCAGGATTCTCACTACTACGTGATGAAACCAGCATCTAACATAGTCCATTTACTTATTTCTGATAATGAATGTACATGGCATAAAATTCAAAGGACATAAAAGCATACAAAGTGAAAAGCAAGTCTCCCTCTCACCCCCATTCCCCTGGCTTATTTCTCCAAAGGCAACCTGTATTACCAGTTTTTCATATAAACTTCTAGAAGGCCTCTATGCATATCCAAGCATATATATTCTATTTTTTAAACAAATGATAGCATTCTATACAAAAATTCTGTCTGTGTTTCATGTTACACAACTTACAGTTTATTCCATGTTAGGACATACAGAACTGCTGCCTAAATATAATCACAGTTCTATAATATTTCACTGTATTGATATATTTTAATTTATTGAATTAGTTCTCTATGGGTGTACATTTGGGTTGATTCCAGTCTTTTGCCTTTGTAAGAACAATGGTGCAATGATTATCACATACCACGTATATTTAGGATAAACACCTTGATGTGGATTTGCTGGGTCAAAGTTATTGCCTTTGGGATTTTGACATCTATTTTGACACCTATTGACCAACCATCCTCTGTAAAACTTGAGCCATCCTCTCAGCAATGCATGAAAATGCTAATTTCCCCACACCTGTGCCAACGCAGTGTGGTGACAGGGCTTTTTAACTTTTGCCAATCTGATGGGTACATAATGATAGTTCACTGTGGTTTTAGTTTAGATTTTCATATAATAAAGGAGGTTTTGTATTCTTTATGAATATTTTTGTGTGTATCTGAATTTCCTTTTCCATGTACTGTCTGTTCATATCCTCCTACCATTTTTCTAATGTATTGTTGCTCATTTTCCTACTGACTTGTTGGAACTTACTGAAAGAGAGAGGAGAATTCCCCTTCTTGATGTTTTATATTTCTTAATGAAAGGGCATCAGTGAATGTAAGTCTTGTCCTCCTCTGGTCCCCTTCCCTTCCCTCACTCCAACTGTGAGGAGGAGAGGTAAATGATCTGATTGCAAGTTTGAGAGGAGGAAGCGTGTATGCCTACCTCGGCCCTTCCCTCTCCCTCCCTGCCCTTTGGGACATGCCTGCGGAGAATCTGTGCTCTTGGTGGCCCTCAGCTTATGCTCTGGCCTGCAGGCATCTAGAGCTGCTTGTGTCCTGGTGAGCGGATCTGCTTCATCCTGGGATCCAGTATGAGAGAACCTGTTCTTTACACACCTAAATCACATTCTCAGGCGGATCCACCAGTAATAAAGCTGAGTTTTGGGTTCTGACTTGCCTACTGCCTCATTGGTAGGGAATTTTGGCAGAAAAAGGGGATGCTATTTATTAGACCCCTCATACCCTGATGGGCTTTTTAGTATCAAGGGAATTAATCTTTCACCTGTGATATAAATTCTAACTATGTTTCCAGCTTTTCGTTTATCTGTTCATTTGTTTTTTTGATGGTGCTCTCCTTTGTTTTTTGGTGGTGTTCTCCTTTAAATGGAAATCTGTGAAACTGATCAAGTTTCACCAGATGTGAAGATATTGAGGTTTTGCGTCATGCTTAAAAACACCTTTCTCACTGCTAGATTATAGAATATATTTTCCTGTGTTTTCTTCAGGTAAGTGCCTGGCTCCATTTTTCATGTTTAAATTCTTGTGAGTTCCTTCCTGGCATGGCATGATACGGGAAACCTGGACTGATCCTAGGGGAGGGGGGCTTGGGAAGTGGCAAAAGAAGGAAAGACATGGGAACACAGAGCCACGTGTCTTTGCTTGGGTCAGTGCTGGTTGGTGACGTGCAGTTTTATGTCCTGGTGCAGCTTCTAGAGTTACCTGGGCACTTTGGCGGGCGGCTGTGGTCGGGAAGGAGGAAATGCAAAGCTCGAGTAGCCTCCCTCGGGGGTCCAGAAAGGGAAGGGACTCTCTGAACCCACTCGGTGAGTCGGGGTGCTAGCCGTACTAAAGCCTAGGTCTCCTGGCAACAGGTCCAGGGTTTGTTTTCCGGTCTCACTGGAGTCTAAACCCAGCTTGGTTCCAGTTGAACCAGAAAGCTCAGGGGACAACATGCCCAGCTCTGAGGTTGATGGGCCCTGTCCCATGCCCTGGAAAGCCCTGCTGTATGGCCTGGGCCTGGCCGACTTCAGACTCCTGCTGTGGATGCCGGCTTTGCTGTGACGACCAGAAAACCAAGTCCATGCTGCGACCCGCGGCCTCTAAAAGGAAAGGGGTGACATGCCTCCTCTCTTCCAACTAAAATCTACAACGGGCTGCAAATGTGGGATCATTTAGAGACCAAAGTCTTCCTGTGTCAGGTACTTGTTACTCTAAGTTTCTTTCACATGTTATAAAGCAACACAACTTCAGGGGAGCAGAGTGGACAGTGTGCCTCTTTCCCCTCAGCCCTGGGTACTCAATAGGCTGAAGAACAGGTGATGAGCAGCTTGGTGGGTGGCTTCTCACCTGTCTACTAGCAGGCCCCTTCTCTTCCCACCCACCTGTCCCTGAATAAGAAAACAATCCCTAACCTTTTTTTTTCCCTAAGCATAATTTAACACTGAGTTCTTTGGTTGCTCTCTGAAGCTTTTTATGTAAATTATTGTGAGTCTGCACGAATGGGATAATGCCTTATTACAGGGGTTCACGAGCTGTGTGTATTAAATGTTGTATTTAAAATGTTTAGTACATTTAAATTTTATGTGTGAAATCTTTATATTTTCTTTTCCAAGTGCTGTGATCAATTCTGTGTGACCTCTGGTCATTCTTTCTTCCTTGTTACCTTCCTTTTCTGCTCAGATAGCCTTGACTGGTCTCCACCAAGGTCTCTATATACAGTTGCACAGGCTGTGCACTGCACAACTCCAGGGAGTACCATTGATTTTATAATCTATGGGCTGAAAGGTATCTTTGGAGTTAAGGATTATGGCAGCCCTGCTTCCTTCCATCCATCGTGTGGTCACAATTTACATAGGCAATTCTAATTCCTTTGTATAATTAATGACTCATAGGTTATATCCCAGGGCCACTTGGAAGCATTTTTGGGGTTACCTGCTGTTCTGTATTATCCATGCTTGACTCTCCCACTAATGCATGTGATTAAGAGTTACTCCTGCTCTCTCAGTTGAGTTGAATCAAGGGGAGAAGAGCAAAATGTCAGTATGGGAACAGACTAATACAGAGAGCAAGGAAGGTAGTGGTGAGCAGCAGTCAGGCCGTGAACTGGGCGTTAGAGCTGAGGTAAGGTCCAGGCTGCTGGGCGACCCTTTGTGCTAGGAAGGGCCTCTTTCCTCTACAGGTAGGGAGGAAATTTGTCTTTGCTTCTGCCCTGACCTTTAACTCTCTATTAAATGGGATTCTGTATCTTTGGGCCAGCTGCTTCTTCGGCTTATGCCTCAGTTTTTCTATCCAGAAAAATGGGGTGATACCTGCCATGCTAACATCAGAGAGCTCTTGTAAGAACAAGGCATTTTGTGCTGAGGTCACGGTGAGCCAGCCCTGCAGAGAGAGCTCAAGACTTCTGGGCTGAGGCTGAGGGATGGAGGCTTGGGAGCTCCTAGCTCGCATGCTTGGTGCCTCTGCATGAGGCATGCCTGGTGCGTGTCTGTGTGTAGTGTATGATGTGGTGGAACCAGGCCCTGGGGACATCCAACCTAGTGTGGCTCCAGGCATGTGTCTTGGATTACTGAGCCTCAGTGGGTGAGCAGATGACAGAATCCTGCTTTAGAGAATATGAAGAGGATTTGAATGCTTAATAGGAAAAGAATGGACCAAACATGCTACAAGAAATCTACAAAATGTCACTGGCATCGGCTGGCCTTCTCCCTCTCATGTGTGTTGACAGGGCTTTGTAAATAGTCTGACTAAGCCCTGTTCTCTTGTGACCTAGAAATTCACAATTTGGGTTTAGGTTTGCTCCTGGGACTTAACGTGTTGGTCGGTTGTGGAGAGAAACAAAGGGGACATGGAATAGTTTCTTGGACTCACATCAGAAAAACCCTGTAAACAGCTCGTTGGCCTTCAAGAGCCCCCGTTCTGCACACACCAGCAAAAGTGCCCACTTGGAGGTCTGAAGCACCTGATGCTTTATGTCCTGTGGGTTCCCAATCAGCCCATCAAACAGCCTGTAATCAGGGCTGAGGGTGAAACTCCAAAGCCCTAGGAGATGTCACCCACCCCACCTGGGACACGTAAGTCCACTCTTTAAAAGCCCAGTCCGTTCTTTGCCTCTCAAAAGCAGTCATTCACCATCAAACCCTAAAAGATGCCTCTCAAAAGCAGTCATTCAACATCAAACCCTAAAACACTGGGTAGAAATGGAGGCCTTCAGTAGCAACCTTTACATTTATTAGGCTTGTGCAAAGTAATTGTGGTTTTTGCTGTTAAAAGTGATGGCAAAAACTATAGTTACTTTTGCACCAACCCAATATGAACCACGCTAATCTCAAACTCTATTTTATATCAACTCTTTCCCCTGCAAAATGCTAGTTTAGCTCCTATTTGCTGATACCTCCAGGTGTTTTTGGCACTCTTCATCCAGTTTACTCCCTCCACCCCCATATCTATCAGAACTTAAAGCTCAAAGGTTGAGGTGACACTAAGGGTTAAAGGCCAGCTGTCATCGTCTGCCATGGCCCCAAACAGTGTGTGAGGCTTGCAGGTTAGGATCCCTCCGTGCCCAAAGCTCCCCCCATGCCCCCAGGCACTGTCGCCTAGGGAGAAGCCAGATCTCTGACCCACAGATGCCCTTGCTTTCTGTTTCACCACCTGCTTCCCCCTGGCCCATTTGCTGAGGACTGTGGGCTTCTGCATTTCAAGGGGAAATGGAGGGGGGTCCCCTAGCCTGGCCCCTTAGTCTGGAAAGAAATGGACAAAATTCCATTTTAGCTATAAAGCTGAGAAAGAAAGGTATGTGCTCAAGACACATTTTTGGGGACAGGAAATTTCCCAAATCATTCACTTTTCCCTATAAAAACACACTAAAGCAGTAGTATAGCTATTTACTTACACGAATTAACGTGACATTATTCAAAATGACTATGAGTTTGAGCTTACAACATTTAGGATCTGAAAAAATAATCCCCTTCCCCCTAGATAAGCATGACATATACTCCACAGTAAGAGTACAGGACGAGAGAATCTGGGGACTGGAAGCAATCTTTGAGTTTATTTTATAGATGAGGAAACTGAGGCCCAAGGTGGGGTACTGTTTGGCCGTAGCCAGAATGCAAACTCATGATCTGGTGCCCGCAGGGCGCCAGGCTCTTCTGGGGCAGTCTTGCTGTGTTTGAGGAGGGCTCACACATGAAATTGTCTGGGCAGTCACTGTCTTCCATTTGAACACTGCAAGTGGTTTGGTCACAGACTGCCAGGGGGTAATGAGGACCCAAGGATTTGCTGTTTCCTTAGATTTCTGGGCCACTTGGGGCACTCAGCCATTGGCTTGATCATGGTAGAGAAAAGCTTGTGCTCACAAGCAGGGTACTTTTTTAGATGTAGTTTTTCAAAGAACAAGAGAGAAGATGGGTCCCACTAGGAAGCAAAAGCTCCGTAAATTTCTGACATTTGAGCCTTTGTGGATGAACCCCAGCAAATGGCAATGCACACTGGCTAAGGAAAGGGCATGTGGTTGTGAAGCAGCTGAGGAGGCAGTAGGCTGTTCCTGCCAACCAGGAAGCTGCCCAGAAGTGGCCGAGAAAGGCCAGAAGGAGGAAAGCCCCGTGAGGGAAGCGGGAGTGGCTCTCCTCTACTCAGGTGCCTCGGGGCCAGGCTTGTCCCCAGAGCATCAGCCAGTTCCCAGCAGCGTGTGTGCTGTGTGTGTGTGTGTTTGTAATATTTGTGGTGTGTGTGTGTATGTGTGCATGTGGTATATCACGTGTGTAGTGTGTTTATGTGGTGTGTGTACGTGTGTGTAATGTACGGGTGTACTGTGTATGTATGTGTGTATGGTGTATGGTGTCTGTGTGGCATGTATGGTGTGTGTGTGATGTGTGTGTGTGGTGTGGTGTGTTCATGTGTGTTTTCTGTCTGCATGGTATCTTTGTGTGTGTATGTGGTGTAGGGTATGTGTGGTGTATTTGTGTGTGGTGTGTGGTGTTTGTGTATGCGTGGTGTGTCTGTGTATGTGTATGTGGTATGTGGTGTGATTTGTGTGTGTGTGTGAGATATGTGATGTGTGTGATGTGTGTGTCTGATATGTGGTGCGGTGTGTAGTGTGGCATGTGGTGTGTTTGTATGTGGTATATATCGTGTAYGTGTACAGGTGTGTTTGTGTGTGTGTGGTGTGATTTGTGTGTGGTTGCTGTTTGCGTGTGGGGTATGTGTGTGGGGTGTGTGTGTGGGGGGGTGTTGGGATGTAGGGTGTATGGATGTAGGTATGTGTGTATGTAGTGTGTGTGCAATGTGTGGTGTGGTGTGTGTGGAATGTGTGGTGTGGTGTGTGGTGTGTATGTGTGTGGTGTGTATGTTGTGTGTGTGCATGTGTGTGGTGTGTGTGTGGTGTGTATGTGTGTGGTGTGTGTGTGGGGGTGTGTGTATGTGTTTGTGTTGGGTGTATGTGGTGTATGTGGTGCGTGTACGTGTGTGTATGTATGCATGTGTGTGTGTGTATGTGGTGTGGTGTGTGTGTGTGTTTGGTGTCTGGGTGGTGTCTTTGTGTGTGTGTGGTGTGTGTATGTGTGTTGGGGGGGTGTATGGGTGTGGGGTGTGTATTAGTCCTTTTTCATGCTGCTGATAAACACATACCAGAAACTGAGCAATTTACAAAAGTAAGAGGTTTAATTGGACTTATAGTTCCACGTGGCTGGGGAAGCCTCACAATCATGGTGGAAGGCAAGGAGGAGAAAGTCCCATCTTACATGGATGGCAGCAGGCAAGGAGAGAATGAGGAAGACGCAAAAGTGGAAACCCCTGATAAAACCATCAGATCTTGTGAGACTTATTCACCATCACAAGAACAGTATGGAGGAAACTGCCCCCATGATTCAAGTTTCTCCCACCAGGTCCCTCCCACAACATGTGGGAATTATGGGAGTACAATTCAGGATGAGATTTGGGTGGGGACAGAGAGCCAAACCTTATCAGTGTGTGCGTGTGTGATGCATATGTGGCATGTTTGTATGTGTGTGTGGTGTGGTGTGTTTGTGTTTGTGTGTATGTGTAGATATTTGTGTATGTGTTTGTGTGGGGTGTGCATGTGTGTGTGGTACTGTGTGTGGGGTGTACGTGGTGCATGTGTGTGTACGTGTGTATATGTATGTGTGCGTGTAGTGTGTGTGTGTGTGTATATGTGTGTGTATATATGTGTGTGATGTGTGTGGGGTGTGTTGGTACAGGGCAAGAAGACTTCCCTTGGCAATGGAGGGCACAGGACATTTTGATGGGACCATTTTGACACACAGACATGTGGCAGTGGCATTAAGAAAACACCAGGAAATGCATAGCCTTTCTTTTATTTTCTTTTCTTTTTCTAAATTCCTAAGGAATGTGTGTAACTGTGCTCATCGGCACCCTTGCTCAGACACAGGTGAGGCGAGGCTTGGGGCCTAGGTAATAAACAGGGGTTGTTAGTCATATACGTTAATTGATAAAAACAAAACAAAAAAGACAGTAGAAAAATGGAGTTGTGATATATTGGAAGGGACTCCATCCAAAAGCCAGCAGTCACAAACTGCCGCATCTAAGTCTCTAGCTTCAGGCCTCAGCTTGCCGGCAGCTCTGGGGAAGTCCAGTTGAGAGGCTGCACGCAGCCCAACAGCCCTCCCGGGCCTGTTACCAACAGGCAGGTGCCCAGCGGCAGGGCTCTCACCTCCCTGCTCAGACCTCTGCACCCCACTCACCCCCGTTAAGCCCTTGTTCCTTTACCACAGGACTCCATCTTCTGATTGGTTGATCACTGGGGGATTCAAGGGAGGCTGCGAGTTGGAAAGGCAGTTGTGGGGAAGACTTTGGACAGGCAGGTCAGCCTGAGTGTCTGAGGCTACTGTGGTGGTTAACCCTTCCTCTGCTGGCTGTAGGGCCACACAGGTCTGATCCCTGGGTTCCATTTGTCCAAAATCAGCACTAGTGATATGTCCTGGGCCTTCAGCTGATTCTGAATCTTGCAGATGCCTGAGAATGACTGCCTCTAGGGATGTGTCCTCATGGCCTGGCTGGGCTTGGGCCCCTGGAACTGGACAACAGAGGTCTTTATCTCAGGAAGGACTGCATTTGGGTAAAGTGATTGAGTCAGAGCAACAGGGCCTCAGATCAGCCTTGAGGCACTGGGAGTGCGTTAGTCCCCCTCCTAAGCATCCTAGGTCTTTGCTTTGGACTTGGCATACGCTTAAAGAGCAGGAGAGGGCATCCTGGGCACCAATCCCGGACTGCTGCTGCTGTTCCACTCCTTGGAGCTCCCTCATTCACTGGAACCATAAACCTGCCCAGAGACACATTGAGGAACGAGGAGGTTGGCACCAGCCAGAGCTGTCCAGGCTGGGGGACTGGCAGGCCGGGCAGGCCAGAGTGCCTGCGTGCAATAGGGGCCTCATTCATAGCTGCTGAATGGAAGAGAGTTGGTGAGGCAGCAGAGGGGCTTCCCTGGATTCTAGCGAGCTCTGCTCAGGCACCAGGCTACCCTGTGTCTGGAGGCCTGGCCTGCTGAAACGTACTCTTGCCCAGAAGCTGCTGTCTAAACTTCTCTGTCAGGGCACCAACTCCAGTGCCATCACCTGACACATAAAGATTTGATTGTATTGCTCCTCATTCAAAAATCATTACAGGGTCCCCGTTAGCTTCAACAGTGTTTCCTGGAGTAAATGCTAAGGGATGTTTGTCCCATGAGATGTTCCTTAACAGTTGGCTTCAGTGGGTGTGATTCCCTCTTGAGGATGCAACCCAAGGGCTCTGTGGAGCCTGCAGGGGCAGAATGGGTTTCCCAAGCTTGACCATGGGACACTAGCGCCCTGTCTTTTCTTCTCTTAACTCCTATTGCATATGGCAGAGTATGGGGCATAGTTTGGTAACAGTAACCCATAGCATAAAAGCCAAAGTGGTCTTGCATTCAATAGATTATAAAATCTGGTCTCAATCTAAGGTTCTCCCCATCTCACCCCCTGCATTGCTCCTCCTTCCTATGCCCCATGGATTCCCTTCCTTGGGCATGCTGTGTGTCATGGACTGAATTGTGTCTTCCTAAATTCACATGTTGAAGCCCCTAGTCCACCAGAATGTGACTGTATTTGGAGACAGGGCCTTTAAAGAGGTGATTAAGTTAAAATGAGGCCGTTAGGGTGGGCTCTAATCCAATATGATTGATGTCCTTATAAGAAGAGCCAGTTAGGACAAAAAATGAGGCAAGAGATATGCATGTACACTGAGGAAAGACCATGGGAGGATGCAGAAGAAGGTGTCAATCTGCAAGCCAAGGACAGAGGAACCAGCTCTGCAAGACCTTGATCTTGGGCTTCCAGACTTCAAAACTGGAAGTTTCTGTTGTTTAAACCCCCCAGTCTGCAGTACTCTGTGATGGCAGCCAGTGCTGATTGAGCCCCTGTGCCACCCACTGCCCCACAGGGGTACCCTAGAACCCAAAGTGTTCCATCCCATAATATGCTTATGCTCCCTTCCTCCTGGGATGCTGTGCTCTGCCACCATATTTCTCTTTGCAAAAACCAAGCAAAACCAACATAAAATAAAATATAATTCCACCTGTCTTTTAAGGCCTCACTCAAATGCCTCGTCATCCAACGAGCTCTCCCTGGTCTGTTCAGCTGAAGGGAGTCCCTCTCTGTGCCTGCGGAAGGTCAGCTCACGCGTTTCCCACTGCCCTCTGTTATGTGGAATTGTGCACAGTGACTCCTGCCACCACACTGTTGGATTTCTTGAGGCAGAACTCATCTATGTCTCAGTTCCTGGCATGGTGCCTGCCACTGAAGAGGTGCTCAATAATTATGTTCTGGACGCCATTAAAACTATGCCTCTGCAGTGCCTCGTGCCTGCCTGGTATCTTCCAGCTTTTGTGATGCCAGGACCCAGAGTGCAGTCTCCACACTGGCTCAGGGAGCTGTGGAGGGGGGAGCTTCTGAGATGGGCCTTGAAGGGTACAGAAGAGGTGAAGTCACTTCTCGGTGACAGCGAGGAGCAGAGAGCTGCCTTATCTGAGTTTCCATGTAACTGCACGTATGTTTGACCTGAACACACAGGAACTCTGGGCCTTGCACATGGAGACAGGCAGTCCGCCAGCAATATGGGGCTCCTGGCTCTGTTCTCTAGGGAAGTTTCTTCCGGCAACCCCACTGGAGCTGGGAGGCGCAGGCGACCGAGCACCAGATCGAAGCTGGAACCTCCTTCTGGAGGCCTGGGCTGGGTCAGTGTGTGTGTTGTGCCGCCAGCACCTGAGTGGCACCCGTCCCCTCACATGGGGTTTGTCAAGCGTCTCTGCATCCCTGGCCTCGGGAAGAAGGGCCCCGGTGGGAGCGGGAGCGTTGACACCCTCCCCTCTGATCTGAACACAGGTTTCTAATTTCCCAGTAATTTGCCCTTTCTCCCTCTTCCCAGTTGGCTTCCCTGTCACTTCATTTCCTGCCGTATTCTCATCTTACAGCAAAGGTGAAGAGAGTTGACCTCTCCTTGCCCCAAAGCGGAATAAAATCCAGAACAGATTTTTGTGAATAAAAATAGGCTTGAATACCCACAGCCAGCCACCTTGGGCTCCGCTCAGCCCATCTGGCCTGTGGAGTTCTCTCCCCACCCGGCCAGCCCACAGGGCAGAGCTGCGGAGGGTGGGCCGGTGGCCAGCCAGAGCCAGAGCAGGCCCAGCCGGGGGCTGTTGGACAACTTTATCCTCTCACATGGGGGACGGCTGCCTTTTCCAGTGGACTAGGGAGGAAAGATTGAAATGTCAGCACCTGGTGGGAAAAAAACAATTTCTGTTTAGAACATTTGGGAAAATTCCAAGAGGGATGCAACTGATCCCCCTCCCCCTCCTAGTATTTTCAAAGGGATTGTGGCTTCAGAGCTAGACAGACCCCAGGTCCGGTTCTTGCTCTTTTGTGGTCAGCTGTATTATCTAAGGTAAGAAACTTCATCTCTATGAACCTTAGTTTCGTCATCTGCAAAATGGAGATAAGGATGTAGATTCTGCAGGTAGGCTGGGAGGATACATGAGCAAGACAATCACAGGTGTTCAGCGCAGGGTCTATCTATGTGTCCTTCCTCCCATTCAGGTTTCAGCTTAAACGCCAGAGGGGTGTGATGCCCCCTCTAAATGCAGTGGCCAGTTCTGGTCCATCAGAGCGCCCTCTATTCCCTTTCCATGGTGGGATGTTTTCTTATTTCTTGTTTATGTGTGCTGTCTGGCTATGCGTGCTGTCTGGCTCCCGGTCCTAGCAGGAAAGACTGCCAGAGCAGGAACACTGCATTGGGGCACCCTATGATGCTGGCAGAGAGAGGGCACTCAAGAAAGATTTATTTAAAAAGTGGGTGCAGAAATTACAGCTATTATTTTTATTGTGTCAGGGTAACTTTTTCAACATATGATTTGGTGTTTTTACCTTTCCCTGTATTTTCCCAGTTTCCCATCCTTTTTCAAGCAGTTAGAGGCCCTGGGCATCCTTATCTCAGGGGGTGTTTGTGGTTAGCTTAAAAACAAAAGTTGCTGCAAGATACACTTTCCTTCCTGGATTTTATTCCCAAAGAGTCTGAAACTATTGAAAAGATAGTGCTGGTTGTCTGGAAGGTTTGAGGAGAGAAAGAAAATGAGAGAGAAGGAGACAGATTTTGGAAGAAACATGAAGACAGAGGGACTTCCCATCTTCCTTCTCCTTTAATCCAAAAAAAGATTTCTGGCAGTGGGTGGGGCAGGAGGATGGTCCGAGGGTTCTGTGAGCAGCAGCGGATGCCCACATACCCATGAGACAGCATCCTGAGAAGGTAGCCAACATGCAGAGGAGGTGGGGACCGCGCACTGGGCTTCCCTAGGGGTGAGAGTGGCACCAGAACAGCAGAATGGCCTGGTGTGATGGGCATGTGGGCAGGGCCAGCTAGGGCTGCTGACCGACAGGCCTCCCTGGCACCCTGATGCTGCTTACAACCCTGGAGAAGGCACAGCTCTAGAATGACGGAAGCTCAATCAGGGCTCAGAGTCAGAACTGAGTTCCACTCTCTGCTCTGCTTTATTTATTCAGAGTCTTCGATGATGTGCCCTGGGCTGGTGTTTGGAGAAAGGCAAGTGTGGGTATGAGCAGCAGCATTGCAGGTTCCGGACACCCCGGAGGCACAGCACCCCTGTACCTACCATCACTCCTGGGCTCAGCTTGGCACTGCTCAGCCAGGACTTCACACCTGTGATGATCAGAGGGCACTATGTATCAGGTGTACATTCCCCATCCCCCTACAAAAAGGTAGTAATTCTTTGTTTTTCTACAGCACTACTAAATCTAGTAGAAGGACTCTTTTTACCACAGTTGATGTCTAATATCTGTTGCTTTTCGCGGCTCCCTGTCCCTCACTGTCATATGAGAACCTCAGGGCTTTGTGATTCAGGAGAAGTGTGGAAGAGGCCACAGCTGCAGATGTGAATGGTGCACAGCTGTGGTTTCTTGCCCAGGCCATGTGGTTCATTAGAAGGCAGCTGGCTCCACTGTCAGCCTTGTTCCTACTCTGCCGAGCTCTGCAAGGGGTACTTCCAGGGTAGGCTCAGCCCTGATGCTCCTAGCCACATCTCCGTGGCACCTCTGGCAGGTCCAACTGCTCTCCAACTCTGTGTGCAAATGGGATAGGGACCCCTTCCACCCTCCAGCCTCAGGATCCCACTCCCTGGAGGCAGACCTCTTCTCTTTGTCCCTTAAAGAACCAGCTTCCAATTCCTTCCCAGCTAGGACAGAACCAGACAATTCTTCCTATGGCCTTGGTTTTCCAAGAGAAGGTCACCTTTGTCTCACCTGGTGATGTCTCCCCTGAAGCACAGAAGAGAATCACGAGTACTTGTTTCAAAGAAAATGACCAAAATCTGTCTTAGCTTCCCATCGCTGCTATAACAAGTCACCACAATTTGCTGGCTTCAAAAAACACACATGGATCTTACAGTTCTGTAGAAGTTTGACATGGGCTTCACTGGGCTAAAAGTAAGGTGTTGGCAAGGCTGTATTCCTTTCTAGGACTGATGTAATTCAACTCTGTGTCCCCACCCAAATCTCACATTGAACTGTCTGTGTCACCACCCAAATCTCACATTGAACTGTCTGTGTCACCACCCAAATCTCACATTGAACTGTAATTCTCAATGTTGCAGAAGGGGCCTGGTGCGAGGTGATTGGGCCATGGGGGCAGACTTCCCCCTTGCTGTTCTTGTGATAGTGAGTGAGTTCTTACAAGATCTGGTTGTTTAAAAGTGTGTAGCCACCTTGCACCTCGATCTCTCTTGCTTCTTCTCTGGCTGTGTAAGATGTGCCTGTTTCCCCTTCACTTTACGCCATGATTGTAAGTTTCCTGAGGCCTCCCCAGCCATGCTTCCTGTGCAGCCTGAGGAACTGTGAATCAATTGAAGCTCTTTTCTTTATAAATCACCCAGTCTCAGGTAGTTCTTTACAGCAATGCGAGAACAAGCTAATACAGGGATGAATTCATTCCCTTCCCTTTTTCACCTTCAAGTGCCTGTATTCCTGGGGCCCCGGCCCCTTCCTTCTTTTTTGAAGCCAGTAGCTGAGCATCACTCCAAACCGCTCATAAGGAAATGGCATTCTACTTGAGTAGCAGACAGGTGAGCCAACAAATACAATCTCATGTGGTAAGCGAAGAACAGGTTCAGGGAAGAAGCATGGTCAAAAAAGGGCCCAGTACCCTGGGTGAGAGAGGGATGGGTTCTCAGAGGGCTGCTACTCAAGCCAAGGCTTATCTTACCTCCTCTACCCAACTGTGGAAAAACTTGAAGAAGTAATTGGGTATAACTCATCTTCTTATTTTCCTTGATGCTAAATTCACTGCTTTGCAACCTGTAGACACCCAATAAATATCACTTGCAATGAACCAGTTCTCTTCTGAGTCATTTTTGTCTTCTGGGCTACAGTTGCAGATGGGAGATGAGAGAACAGTGCCAAGCTAGAGGGCTGAGCTAGCATCCTCAGGACAGAGCCCTAGCTTTAGGGCTTGGCAGATTTTTATTGTCATGCATTTTCTTCCCTTAGCAGAGATGAATTCCAGAATTGAGGCAGGAAGCTCTCTGTTTAGTTGTGGGACCTCACCAGGAATTCACCCCAGACATCAGGGAATTAGATTTAAAATCTCGCCCTTGCATTTAAGCAGGGCTTTAGGATCACTTGGGGGTTGATAATTGATAGATGTCTCCTCGTTTGAGTTTCTTCATAAAATAACATGCAGGGAGCAAGGGAATGAAATTGAGCAAGTGAAATACTTGGCAGAGTCTCAGGAAAGACGTTAAGAATAGATCTATGAGCTGTGCCCCATGGCGGGGGGGTTGCTTCTGAGTCGGGAGGTGCATGGGTTGGCGGCAGGAGGAAGCGTCATGGAGCCTCTGTTTCTGAGCCCATGTGTTGAGATTCCAGCCTCTAGTCAGAAAATTCCCCTTGCAGCTTCTGCCTGGTCCAGCCCCTGAGCCATGAGCATCTTCTGGTCCTCTTGCCTCAGATTGTTCCCCATTCACTCTTCCCATCTTCTCCTTCACACAAACTTCAGGATCAGGACCCACAGAGGTCTTGGGACCTGTAGGCTGCGGGAGAAGGCTGTGGATGTTTAAAACCACATGTCACCACCTCCTGGCAGGGGCTGGCTAAGGACAGGACTAAACTCTCAGTGGTGAGTTAATGTTTGCTGAGGGAATGAATGAAGGAATGACATAGGCAAAATGAAGCTAAATTATCCGTTAAGGTTATCTATGGTACTTTCCCTGGGCCATGATTCTCCCTCTTAGATGGGAGGAGCTCAGCTCCCTAGACCCCTCCTAAGCTCTTGCAGGGCCTGTAGCATCCAGGGATAACAGAGCAGAGGACTGGGGCAGCCTACTTTCTTTGAAGGGCCACTCTCCATGCCACCCTTTGAATCAGCACTGGTGACCAATTAGTAGAGTGTGATATGAGTAGTGGATGAAGACCTGTCTAGCATTAAAAAAAAGAGACAGAATTGAGAAATAAGGGTATTGCTTTGTAAAAATGTGCTGCTGTTTTGCACATGATAGACAGTATACTAAAAGTGGCTTGCAACGTTAAATGTATTTCTTACCATGGGTCAAGGTCAAAAAAGTTAGAGCATCCAGCATCTCAGAATTGCTGAGGGCTCTCATGCTCCCTGGGAGGAGATGCTAAGGTCTGACCAGGCAACTTCAATTGTAAAATAAAGATGCCTAACCATCCACAATGACCTCTTCCTGAGACCTTGGGGGCAAGTGGAGGAGGACTGGCTGGGAGTAAGAGGCCAGGGCTCTGAGCCTCCATCTGTGTGTACTTACTGTGAGCCTTGGGCACATTGCTAATTCCTCTTCCACCTGTTTTCTCCTCCAATGTGGAGGTTACATTGTGTCTGTGTGCACTGCTGCCCTCTGGTGGTGAGCTCTATACTTCACTGCAGCCACGGCATCCAATTTGGGTTTGTTGACTGGCTTGTGGCTGTCCAGATTTTCCCCTCTTCTTGTTCTCAAAAGGTGAGCCTTACCCCCAGGTGGAGTAGCATCCCACATGTTAAAAAAAAACTCACATGTGTTGTGAGTTTTCTGCAAAGGCCTCTGCTGTTCAAATGCGTTGCCTGGAGATACTCTCATGCGAGAATGTAAATCAAAGGGCAAGCTAATAGGGAACTACTTTGTAGCCAAAGTTTGATGAGGTCCACCTGCTTCAGGGTACGTAGCTGTATGCCAGGTACTCTTGATGCATCTGCCGGCTCTGAACAGTGTTTTATGAAGCTGTTGAGAGAGTGGGACCAGATGTTTAGAAAGAAGAGCTTGTCTTGTCACTTCCCTCAGCTTCTTCCTTTTTTGATGGTATCAGCAACTCTTTGCATTTCCAATTAAGACTCTAGTTAAATTCCCTTCAGCATTTGACTCAACCTCTTGCAAGAGGCAAGATAAGTGATTTAAAAAAAAAAAAAAAACTCTTACTTAAAGAGCATGTTGCATTGTTCTGAGATTTATTTCTAGTAAATCAAAGGGGGACTGAATGTCCCTTAGCATTGTCCTGGGATTGATAAAGGTCAATTGTCTGCAGAAATATGGACCTGAAGTCTCTCCAAGGTTAGAGGTTTCATATTCATGGTCAATGCATCTTCAAATCTCCCATAGCAAATTATCTTGGACCATTGCATTTAATAGGTGCTTAATAATTGTGTGTTAAAAGGTTGAATGGATGAATGAATGAGTAGAGTCTCAGAAATGGCCCTTCAGATGAAGTTTCCGAGCTATGAAGTAACAGTGTACAGTGCACCATGCATGAAGCACATCGGGCAAGGGAACTCCACTGTTACATGGTAGGATTGGTTGGCCTGGAATCAAGTCAGGATATTTAATCAATGAGGTTGAAAGACCCAAGTAAACATTTAGCAAAACTGGAGTCAAAGCACATTTCAAAACAATCATTTAGACTGTTAAGCTGCTATCTTATAGAGTTGGGGGCCCAAAGTAGGGAGTGTTTTATTTTTAAACAACTTGCTTCCCTTCTGACTTCAAGAATCCCCATGATGGTTTGGTTTTGAGGACATTACCAGTCAACCGCAGCCAAGAAGTGATTAGCAAATGCCTGCTCCACAGACGTGGGTCTGACTTCTGGGCTAAGTTCAAAGCAGAGCTCTTAGTTTAATAATGATACAGGATTCACTTTCCTTGAAAACTTCCTATGCTGGAACCATTTTGAGAAAAACAGAAATAATCATGGAAATTTGGGGGCACAAATGAAGACAGGGAGGAAACATTACATGCATATCTGAGTACTTGTCTACAACCCTCACAATGCATCCTGGAGAAGATGTCCCTCCCTTATTCTCTTGATAGGAAATGGCCACTGTTTATAATGAGGCAGAACAAAGCAGGGGCTTACTTCCCCCCCGATGCCAATCAATATGCTGAGAGCTGGCTCCAGTGCTCCCAGAGCCATGGATCAGTGTTACTGCCTTGAAAATCGCTTATTGCTGTGTCATTTAAAGGAATCTGATGAAAGGTTTGAAAGAAATGCTATAATTCTACAAAATATCTTCAAGTGGCATTTCCCAAAACCATGGACAAGTACTGATAGTGTTTTGTGAAATGATTTTAGCCAAAACATAGATAAATATTTTTATTTTAATGCTTATGTATTTAACACATATTACAAATATATACAATTAGCATACCTTACCTGTGATTTCATGAATAATTTTTCTTAGGAAAAGACTAAATAATCTAAGTAAAAATAATACAAAACAAAATAGAAAAGACAAGAAAAGAAGGCATTTTAACTTAAAACCAATAATAGTAGATAGTAAAAACTGTGAAGCTCGTGCTTAAACAACGTGGTTCGGGGAACAGACTCAAAGTGTGTGTTAAGTTTTTGCACTACTATTAGGAGAAACACTGCAGTATAATTCTGCAGTGATTTTTGGAACAAATATTCAAAACTACCACCTAGGGAAAGCTCAGGCACTGTGGTTGTACAGGGAGGAAGCTTTGGGGCCATGGCCACTCTCTTCTTTTCACAGGGAACGTTTTGACAACGGAGTCTTTCTAGTGCCAAGTCTCTGTGCTCCACCAGTGAAGACCGTAGCAGGCAATGATGACTGTGCTTGGAGTCTCCACACTGGAAAGTGGGCTTTTTCCCTGACTTGAGCCCAGCAGCCATCAGAGGGAAGTGGACATCCCCAACGCCATCCCCTCTGCCCACCTGCCGGAGTGTGACTTCCCACCAGTGCCATCAAACCCCCACAGTGCTTCAGAGTGTAGGCCAAGCTAGCAGGTAAGTTTCCCATGAACTCAGGCTCCTCTACCATCTGGGTATGCAGGCTAGAGCATGAGCCCCCACTGCACCTCTTTCAGCATTAAGATATTTCTGAGGCTTTCCTGATAGAGAAGTGGCCTGGGAAGGCATTTAAGAAGACAGCTTAACTGTCCAGGTTCCTTTTCTGTTGACCCTCACCCTGAATCTTGAATCTTGACTAGGGAATTCACCCCTGGCCTTGTGCTGGACTCTTTAGGGACAGAGGTGGGACATGAGATGTTGGCGCTGGGGGAAGCAAGTCTCATCTCACCGAGTGCTCTCCTAGAGAAGGAGCTCAAACAGTGCCCAGAGCTGGTGCTGGGATGCCATTTGGTGGTCTGGAAGTTGCTGATTGCTTTCTCTGTCACAAAGCCTTTGATTTCCACCGGCTTATGTGTACACATGTGGGTATTCTTGGTGGCCTGGCCATTGAGCATAATTAAAAGAAATGATTGGCTTTCTCTTGATGCAAACATCTGGTTTTACTTGAAACAAGATGACTTAGCTGTTTCAGAAACATTCTTGTAACCCTGGATTCACATTTTCTTCTTAAAATATATATTTTCTCTGTTCGGGCAGTATGTTAATGTAAACACTCCTTGTAACTGACAACCGACAGTTTCAGAAGTACGTGGGGCTCCAAGCACCGGAGGAACCGCAAGAATGATTGCGTTTTTGATTTGATCACTGGAAATCTGTTTCAACAGTCACTCTGATTTAAACAATTACTCTGATTTATACTCCAAATGCTGTAATTTGCAGAAAATGTAACCATGTGAGGACATTTTTGTAGAGTATGTCTTGGCAACTTTGTGTTGTTGTGATGTCATTCACTTCAGTTTTAAGGAAGCACAGAGGAAAGAAAAGAAGGAAAACAGCGTCCTTTTTGATGTGCTTTCCTGACCGCCAGGGAAAATGTTCTCAAGTCTTCCTGGCTTACCATTCCTTACCGCTCCCAGCCCACAAGGCCAACACTGAAGGGCTATGAATGACATTGAGGAGAGAAGCGAGAGCCAAGATTTCCTGAAGGCCAAAGAATTAAGTCCAAGAGTGGGGGCAGCTGGTTTTGTTGTCCTGTCTGCTGTCTCTACAGTTAAGACAGGGTAGGTGGGATGCCAGCTCTTGCATCATTCATCAAAGCCCAGGTTTGCAGAGCTGGAAGTCTAGTGGAGAGTGTGAGGTTTAATACCTTCATTGCCTAGAAAGAAAGATCCAGGTAGGTTAAAGAACACTGCAAAGGTTCTAGAGCAAGTTAGTATTAGAGTCAAGGAAGCAACCAGGGCTCTGGTTTTTTGATTCTTTGCAAGATTGTACCTGTTGACATGTAACTGCAGGTTGGTCCCACATTATGAACAGAGAAGGTATCTCAGCAGAATAAGAACAAAAAGTCCTAAGTCAAAATAATTAGGTAGTACACATTTTATAGTTTGCAGCTTAAGGGAGCTAGCATTCCAAGTATTAGTTCCATTTATACCCTGCCCTCCTCCAGTGAATCCAGCCAGGCTAATGCTGCTGGGGAAAGAGCCATGAGGGCACAGAAGGCACTTCTGCCTCTTTGGGAGCAGAACGCCTCTGTGAATGGTCCCATAATTCTGAGTGGCAGCGGGGTGCTCAGCCCCTCTGATCACATCTTCCTAGACCATGTGTCTTCAACTTAGTCCCAGCCCCAGAGAACCAAAAAGAGGTTCTTCTATTTAAAGTTTATCTCCTTAACATCTGTGTGCTTCAGTTAGTTTTGCAGTATCTCCTTAAAATTGACTTATTTCTGCCCATTGCTGAGGAGCGGTGCGCTGTTTCAAGTCCCAGCTCCACCTGTGGTTTGTTGTGTGAACAAGAAGGCATCAGGTTTCTTTGCTGTGCTTCAGTGCGCCCGTCAGTTAAATGAGGGACAAGAGCAGAAAGTGCCAAAATCTCTTCCAGTTTCATCACTCTTGGAATCTGTGGCTCTATCATTTTGTGTATTTGTGTTTCTTATTTAAAAAGTGATACAGGCTCATGGTGACAATTTTTTCCACTTGAACCTCATATTTTGGGGACGTGAAGTTTTTCATGTGCATTGCCCCTTTCAGAGAGCTTTGGGGTGCAGGGACACTCAGCCACAGGTGTGCCCCATAGCCTGGCACTCCTCCCTGGACTGTCCTGAACAACACTCTAATACCAAGGTGGGTGTCTTTCATGCTTCTGAATGATGGGCTCCTGCTAAATGATGGGAAGCCCATTAATTCCTCAGCGAACACAGAACATGTGACAGGCGGCACTCAAAAATTGTTTGTTGGCCAGGTGCGGTGGCTCACACCTGTAATCCAAGCACTTTGGGAGGCTGAGTTGTGTGGATCACCTGAAGTCAGGAGTTCAAGACCAGTCTGGCCAACATGGTGAAATCCCATCTCTACTAAAAATACAAAATTTAGCCGGGCATGGTGGCTTGTGCCTGTAGTCCCAGCTACTTGGGAGGATGAGATATGAGAGTCGCTTGAACCTGTGAGGCAGAGGTTGCAGTGAGCCGAGATCACGCCACTGCACTCCAGCCTGGGTGTCAGAGCGAGATCGTGTCTCAAAAAAAAAAAAATTGTTTTTTGCTAAACAGCACTGGATTGGACATTTGACTAATGTGTCATGCAACAATAAGTTTATCCATGCTAACCACACTGAAAAAAGGCATGGTTCTTTCTTTATTTTCCTAAAACTGATCTGATATTCCACATGAACTCCTACTCACTGGGTAATGGGGCAAAACAAAACTAAAGTTTGGTTCAGTTCAATAATTCCAAATTGATTCCTTTATTGAAGACTTTCTTTAGCTAAATGCCCTGTCCTTCAGCCCTCCTCCCTTGCCCTTTATCTTACCCCACATGGCATTTTGGTGTGTGAGGAGGGAGGAACATGAGGCATTGGTGAGCTTCGGTTTCCAAGGCAGTGTCCCTTAGCCTGGCCACTGCTTGCCTAGCTCGCTTTGGTGGCCGAGGCCAGCAGTTGGCAAAGCTTGCAATTTTTACCTCTCTTTTCCTGGTTGTCCTCCCTGTCTGACTCAGGGTCTGCTGCCTTCCTCATCCAGCTCCAACCTAAGAGGTCCACCTGTGTGGTTACTGCTGCAGGGTCACTGTGCCACTTGCCATGTGGCCCACACAGACTCTCTGGCTCCCAACTCGGTTGCCATAGAATCCCCCCGTGAAGGCCTGCAAGAAAGTCTCGGTCCCAGACATGCTACAAGGAAACATGGAGGCTCAGAGAAGATAACCCACATTTCTGGGCTTCCCTTAGCGCTAGCACACAGCACAAGATAGATTGAATTTGATACAGTTGCCACCATGTTGGTGACCCAGTAGACTGCAAGGAACTTAATCCAGAATTTGCAATGGGAAATAAGGCAAAAGCCTCTTCTTTTTGGCCTTTCTCTCCAAATTTCCAACATATTAGAACCTGCCAATCTCAGCCCCGGATTTTTCTGCATACTCCTCCTTCTGTCTCTGGTCCTTCTGGACAAGGCGGATGGATTTCTGGCATTTATTTTCCTCCACGTAAATTCTCCCCCTGAAATGGGCAGCAAGTCTCGCAGCCTATTTATGTTACAAAAAAAGTTGCATGATCTGTTTTTTCAATGGATGTGTAGATCACTCTTTTACATTTATACTTATCCCCTGCCTAAATCTCTACTCAGAAATCCAGATTTGAACATCTAATTGCCTTCTCAACCTTTCCACTTGATGTCTAATAGGAACTGCAACCTCAACATCACCAAATCAGACTACTTTGCTTTGCTGTCCCTGCAACCCCATAGCCTCCCTCTGCTCCAGGCATTTTTCAACCTTGGTGAATGGCATTGTCATCTACTTAGTTGCTCAGGCCAAAAACTGAAGAATCATCCTTAACTCCTCTCTTTCTTTCACATCTCACATCCAGTTCATCAGCACATCCCATTGGCTCTAACTTCAAAACATATCGTGAGTCCAGAACACTTCTCACCATACTCACAGTTAGCATCTTATTCCAAGCTACCACCTCTGTCACTTGGACCACAGCTGTGGCCTTTTAACTGGGATTCCTACTTCTTCTTTTGTCCCCATAGAGCAGAGGTTCTCATCCAGGAGCATTTTGCCCCCCAAGAACCATTTGGCAATGTCTGGAAACATTTTTGGCTGTCACTACTGAAGAAAAGGGGGAGAAAGGCAATTGACATCTAATGGATAGAAGCCAGGGACGCTGCTGAAAATTCTGCAATGGGCAGGACAGGGACAGCCCGTCACAACAGAGAATTAACTGGCCCAAAAGCTCAATAGTACCGAGCAACTGCCATGGAACTTATTTTCCCAACACAGTAGCCAGGGTGATTTTTCTTTCTAATTTTTTATTTTATTTCATTTTATTTTAAGATGGGGTCTCGCTCTGTCACCCAGGCTGGAGTGCAGTGGGGTGATCATAGCTCACTGCAGCCTTGAACTCCTGGGCTCAAGTGATCTTCCTCAGCCCCCCAAGTAGCTGGGACTACAGGCATGCACCACCATGTCCAGCTAATTTTTATTTTAATGTTTCCGTCGAAATGGGGTCTCACTGTGTTGCCCAGGCTGGTCTCAAACTCTTGGTCTTCTGAAGTGTAAATTAGATTGTGTCATTCCCATGCTTGAAGGAATAAAGCTTTCTCTTGCAATACTAATACAACTGAAATTATTTGCTGGGTACAAGGCCTTACAGGACCCACCCCCATCAACTTCTGTTTTCTACTTCTCCATTCTGCTCATTCACAATATTCCAGCAGCACCGGTCCTTCTTCTCCTCTCTAATTGCCCAAACTTCTTCCTGTCTCCAGGCCTTTGCACTTGCTGCTACTTCTGCCTGGAACACTGTCCTCCAGGCCTTTGCCTGGTTTCTGTCTTATAACTCTGGTCCCAGGTCAAACATCGCCCTGTCAATGAGTCTTTCTGACCTTCCTATATTAATCAGCCCCTTCTGCCTGTTTCTCTGAAACATACACACCTACCACATGACCCAATTTTATCTTCCTCATAGCATTTGTCGATAGCTAAGATTATCTTACTTTTGATTGTTTGTGGTTTGTCTTTCTCCCTTAAGTTTTTTGAGAATAAGACTCTTCTTTTGGAATAGTACAGAGAAGGGGCTTAATAAATATTGCTGGCTGCTTGACTGATTGGTTGTTAATATGTTGAATAGAAGCTAAAGTGATTTAGCACATCCTTTCTCTCTTGTCAATGCCTTGCTTTCAGGCTGATTATTTTACTGTGAAATCGTATTTCAATAATATGAGCTGAATATTAACCCTCTATGCATTCCTGTTCTAGCAATGCTAGGCACCCTGACCCCATCCCACCCAACAAATACATGCCTTAGTTGGCTAAGAAATAGATCATGTACAGGAAAATGCAAAAGAATAAAAATAGTTTTAAATTGTTATTTTTCAAAATAGTGCTCTGTTACAAGTGGAAACATACAAAGTGTTCATTTATTATGAAATGTAAAGAAAACATCACTTCCTGCAAGAGGCAAACCCCACTCTCCCTTCTCTTCTCCCAGTGGGTGACAGGACCTGGCTTAGCTGCTTGGCCTGTTTGCACTGGCCCTGGTAACTGAAAGATAGTCAGCTGCCTGCTTCCCTGTGGCGCAGACATTACCTAAGGTTATCTCTGTACTGGTGAACAGGATTTATTTTCTTGCAAGTTAGCTGAGAAGACTAAATGCAGAAATGCCGGATTCTCAGGAACCATTTCAACGAACCAGCACTCCTTTGCCAGTGTAGAAGCATCCTGAGGTTTCACCCACGCAACTAGGCAAGGCTGGGTGAGTGTGCTTTTTGTGCGTAAGTGTGTATCACAGTGAGTGTGTGTGTACAGGTCTGTATGTATGCCTCAGGTGTATATCTGTGTCTACAAATATACCCCAGAGGCCAAAGATTGAAAATGGGAAAGGTCATTTTGTGGATCACCCAGGGAAGGGCAGTGGGAGGAGCTCATTTCACAAATCTAGTGTTGGTCATGTGAACTAATATCATGGGGATAGGCCGCAGTTATTTGCAGCTTTTTATAATTTATTTGCAAACGACCTAGGTTCAAATCCATTTTTTTTGTTTGTTTTAGAAGAGCTAGGCCGGGCGCGGTGGCTCACGCCTGTAATCCCAGCACTTTGGGAGGCCGAGGCGGGCGGATCACGAGGTCAGGAGATCGAGACCATCCCGACTAAAACGGTGAAACCCCGTCTCTACTAAAAATACAAAAAATTAGCCGGGCGTAGTGGCGGGCGCCTGTAGTCCCAGCTACTTGGGAGGCTGAGGCAGGAGAATGGCGTGAACCCAGGAGGCGGAGCTTGCAGTGAGCCGAGATCCCGCCACTGCACTCCAGCCTGGGCGACAGAGCGAGACTCCGTCTCAAAAACAAAAAAAAAAAAAAAAAGAAGAGCTAATGAGTTTTTCTGAGCCTCAGTTTCCTGATCTGAAAATTATCATTGAGAATTTATTTATAATGGTCCCAGAACTATCAAAAGCTTAGTGCATACCACCATCAGATGCCTCCCCATGTCCTGCCCTTCCTGGCTGAGAAGCGTCTGTGTTTTGCTGATAGTTCTGGGGTCTTTATTATCCAGACTGGGGAGTGTGGGTGAGGGCAAAACGTGGAGGCTCAGAGGATTTCTATTACAAACGGCTGAAGAACAAGGACAAAGCCAGAGGGGGAAGGTGGATGGGAGAAGGAGCCAAGACAGGCTCAGTTGGAGGCACTCTTCTTGCCACTAGGGATGAGGCAAGAGAGAGGATTTGGGGGCATCTGCCAAGATGTGAGACACAATAATAGAGGGAAATAGAAGAAGATGATTTCTAAAAGATTTTCTACGTGTTAGGATGGTGACACCACTTAGGTATTTCCTCGAGGGACTGCAATGCTGATTAATGTTATTCTCCTATTACTTTGGCAGCCAGACCAAGGTTTCTTTCCTGAGGCCTTTTACGAGAGGCCTCAGAAAACCAGACTTTATTCAAGTTAGAACAAATTTGTGCTGTTGTCGTGAGGGTTATATATGGATTAAGTGCTATTTTGTGTGTAAATCTTTTGCTAAGGGTCTGGTAAACATTAATCACTAAATAAAATGACAATTTTTATTGTACAAACTACAATTAGGATGCTAATCCCTGTGTTGTTTCTCAAAAGACCAACTTGAGTCTTAAGAGTGCACACTGTCCTTTATTTATTTAACACTTTCTGTTTGCCACTTATTTAGTAACTGTTTTTTCTGGTGTGGATTTTCCCTCAGCATCTCCCACCCCTGGTCCTGTTGGCTCACAGCTGCTCATGAATCTAAGACTGACTTCTCAAGGTCGTCTTGAGATGCAGAGAAATGAATACCTAGAGTTGAACCCCAGTTCCACCAGTTGGCAGCTGGTCACCTTGAGCCAGTTACTGAATCTTTGTGCCTCAACTTACTCATCTTTGAAATGGGAATATTGATGATCTCTGCTTCATAAAGATGCTATGAGCTTAAATGAGTTAATATTTGATTCTGCCTGTCATGTAGTGATTGCTATGTAAGGTTTGCAGGGGTGATGATGGCAAGGTGATGAGGAAGATGAAGATAATTCTTTTCTCTTGTGCCTGGCAGCATTTAGCACAGGCCTGGGCACAGAGCTGTTCTGAAAAGATATGCAAAGCCTAGGAGGACCACTGGGAGGCCCATATAATGCTGAACTGATTCACATGGTAAAATTCCCAACAACACAAGGGACTCTTTCCATTTGGCTATGAACTCTCATTCCTTCCTGGGAGTAGGCTGCCTATGTTATTGTGAGAATAACTAAAATATCTCTCAATCCAAATATTTAGAAGTTGTTGACCAGGACGGTCAAAGGGCTGGGCAAGAATGGTTATGTCCTACTGCCAGGCTCTGTGTCCTGAGAACAGTGGTCAGAGCTAGCTTGCCAGGTTTCCTTGGTGGGGGAAAATTAAAAAATTACAAAAAGGCACTCCATTCCTGTGTCAGAAGGGGACTGGGCCCTGCTGGGGTGGACAGGGTGGGAGGAAATAAGCAGGGGACCCACAGAGGGAGGTTGGAGCCCCCCAGAACACTTTTTGGTCTTGAATTAAAGCAAGCTTCATCTAAATTCTTATTTTCTTCTTCAACAGACTTTTCCTAAATGTTGTGGATTTTTGACTCAGGGATTTGCTGGGTGGCTGGTGACCTTGTGGGAGAAAAGAAAGCATTCGGAGCATCTAGGCAAGAAGACGCTAGAGTAAGACCCAGGCCTGAGGCTGAGAACTACAGTGGCCTTGCCCCAGGAAGGCTGTGTTCTGGTTCTTAGCCCCACAACAGCTGACTGTAGAGAGGATCTGGCCTGTCAACAGTCTTTGGGGGGACACAGAGTTCTAACTAACACTGATCTGCATTGACTAGAGAATTTATGTGTATTGTTTGACTTCAGCTCTCTCCGGGGAGCCAACACCCCTGCTATGGTCCAGTGACCCCAGCTACTTTGCTCAGAATTCCATTAGGGACTTTAACTTCTATGGAGTTAAGGTCTGCTATGGAGGGAAGATCTGAGGTATGTTCCTGGGAATGGCTGGGTATAATCTCAACCTTAGACAAAATGGGTCACAAAGGAAATCCCAGAAAGAGGGATGAGAGAATTAAAAAAAAAAAAATCTCACATTCACAGGAAAGGCCAGGTGAAATGTATGGGACCGGAGGGAGGAGGAGATCGATGCTGACTTTTCTGAAGCAGAGTCTCTGGTCTGGCTAGTTGAATGCAGCTTTGATCCCACAGACAGTGAACAGGCAGGAGACATCCAACATTAAGTGCAATGAATCACATAACTTCATTCTAAAATCCAGGGGACCCTTTCTTGGCAAATGTGGAGGCTCTGTCCTAAGGGGTCAGTGTGAGCCAACCTTAAGAATACAGTTTCTGGCTGGGCGCGGTGGCTCACGCCTTTAATCCCAGCATTTTGGAGGCCGAGGCAGGTGGATCACCCAAGATTGGGAGTTCAAGACCAGCCTGGCCAACATGGCAAAACCACATCTCCACTAAAATTATAAAAATTAGCTAGGTGTGGTGGTGCATGCCTGTAATCCCAGTTACTTGGGAGGCTGAAGCACGAGAATCCCTGGAACTTGGGGGGTGGAGGTTGGAGTGAGCTGAAATGGCACCACTGCACTCCAGCCTGGGCTACAGAGTGAGACTCTGTCTCAGAAAAAAAAAAAAAAAAAGAAGAAGAAGAAGAAAAGAAAAGAATATAGTGTTCCTGGCTGTGACAGGGCCCTACAAGCTGCTCTCCAGAGTGTTGTAGAGCTTTTGTTGGTATGGTTGGATATCTGTGGCATTTTGTGATTGACAATGATCCTGCTTGAGTAGTTTCCCATGGTGGCAGCAAGATATGTATACAGTGAGGAGTGGTCACAAATGCCCAGGGGAGAAGTACAGGCTAAGCTGTGCCAGAGGTTCTCAAAATTTAAATTTTAAATGTGACTCAAAACAACAACTATTTGTTTACCTCATGATTCTGTGGATCAGCAATTTGGGCTGGGATTATCTGGGCAGAGCTCTGCTTGGTAGATTCTGGTTGGGGGCTCCCATGCATCTACAATCAGAGCCTGAGCTGGTTGTCTAAAATGGCTCTGTGGGATGGCTCGACTCTGTTCCATGTGGTCTGTCATCCTCCATCAGGCAAATCTAGACTTTATTAAATTACAGTGGTGGTAGAATCCCAAGAGAGCAGTTGGAAACGTGCAAAGACTCTTGAAGCCCAGGCTTGGAACTTGGATAACGTCACACTCTCTGCATTCTATTATCCAAATCAAACCACGAAGTCAAGAAGTACTTCTCGATGGGAGAGGCTGCAAAGAATTGTGGCAATTTTTTTGCAATCGATCACAGGTGTCCTCTGTGCTTTTGTTAGCTTTAAGGATTTACTTCCAGCCTTTTGAAGTCCATCGAATCATTCATGAAAGGAAAATCTGAGAAGAACCCCAGTGTTTGAGAGATTATAAGAATTCCTTTCTAATGTCAAAAATTTCCAAGACCCTTAGAATAGTTCATGGATTTCTACATGAACTCTAGAACCATACTCCTAGAGTTTGAAAAATTACTTAATAACTAAAAGTTCCTATACATTTGAGGAAGTTTTGAAATAAATTTGTATCTTTTAATCATAACATCATCAGTATGCATTAAAAGTAGTAGTTAACATTTATATGAAATAAGATATATAAGGCTACAGGCATAGATTAATGTGCAAATAGCCTCATGGGCCGTTTGTATTAATAATAGCTCTGAGATATAAGATCCAGAGCTCATAGGGTGGGAACCACTGTTCTAAACCAAATGAAGAACTGGCCTAATGTCATTGAATTTTATGCATCCTTGTCCCCTTGGGCCATGGACACTTACATGTACTTTCCATTTGTGGAGACTGCACTAGAAACTGCCCTGGGTCCTTTATATCCACTCTCTTGACTCCCAAACCATCTTTCCATCAAACCAACCAGTGAGGTCTGACATTCCACTATGGAAAAGTCATATCTCAAGTTTACAATTTCCAGGGTTAAGGTGCAATTCTCCTGGGGGTGCAAGGGCACAGTGTGTGGTCACTACTGGTGGCTTACTCTGCAACCCCTCACTAGAGTAGGAAGGTGGAAGCAGCTCTACTTGGCCACTGAACAGTGGTGGGAGACTGGAAGTCCTCTCCCCAACTCTGGGCTTCTGTTTTCTTGCAAAGAAATGAGAATTGAAAAGGCCCTTTTAGGAAGATCAAGGCTGAAATGAGTGGCAATAAAGAGAAGTGTTTTCCAGGCCAGGCACAAATAAAAACTAGTTGTCTCTTTCTCCTTCATCTTTCTATTTGATCTTATTGCTCTTCCCCTCCCTAATCTCCTGGCAGTGGTATAGCCACCTCCTCAGTTGGAAAAACATTGACTCTGAGAGTCATATCCCTTGAAAAACCTTGGCTGGCACATCGGTGCTTCACATTTGGGGATTTGACTGTGGGTTTAATGCACTAGGAACCTGCAATTCCAGGACAGAGCATCCTAGTGAGTGCCTAGGGCCTAGTCACCCTGTGGCACAGCCTCCTCAGATATGCAGGGTGAAGCAGAGGCAGAAGACCACAGGAAAGGAGCCAGGAAGACAGCAGGAAAGAGCTGAGGTCTCTGTTTCCATGGGCGTTCCCCTTCTCAGCTGTGTGTCTTGGCGGCCAAGCTACGCTTCTGCTCTTTGATGCCATGAAATACTTTGTTACTGTCCAAATCATCTCCCTTTTGACTTAGGGCCAGTTTGAGTGGAGTTGCTGTTGTTTTTTTTTTTCCTGGCAATCTTGATAAAGACACATTAACTTAACAAATTAAGACATATTCATTTGACATTTGTGCGTGCCAGGCTCTGGCAGCTGCAACGTTGAAGCCATGGCCTCTGCTCTCCTGAAATAAAGTCTAGTACAGGAGGCCAACACATGAACAGATAATTACAGTGTAGTGTGAAAGTGTGGCATATGGGAGTCATGGATTGATGAAGAGAAGAAAGCACGTAGACAGGAAAGGAGGAGTCAGACAGCTAGGTTTGATGGGCCACCAGGAGTTCAACAGAAGCAGTAAGATCACAAACAAGGAGCTGGGAAACAGCAGTTCTCAGAACTGACAGATATGGAGGTTGGGTATTGCCCTGGTGTAGATGAAGGCAAGTGAAGGTGTTGAGAAGCTGAGGCCAGGTTGGCAGAGCTAGGTGGTCCAGAACTGCTCAGAGAAGCTTCCCAAGCTTGCTCTTGGCTTGTGACTGCTGAATTACAGAGATCGGAACAGGTGTGATTTCATTTCCCATATTTTCAGCAAAGGCATACAATTGAACAGTGTTCTTATCTGAACTGACAAAAGACCATCACCAATTTATATAATAGCACCCTTTAAAACATTCCTGCCAAATGTTCTCAATATTGAACAAAAAGATTTTGGAATCAAAGCAAGGTAGAAACAGGCCTCTTTCATAAATGGTTTCCATCTTTGCTGCTTCACCTCCACCACTCACAGATATCCCTCGCTTTATAGGCAAAGACAAATGTTTGGAAACAAAAATGAAAAATGGTAAAAATGTTCCTATGTTGGGACACTGTCATCATCCAACCACGTGACTTGGCCAGCATGCTGTCAGATGTTTAGGGCAGCAGTGGGACAAGCTCTGGAGGCTGCAGAGTGTGTGTCCCCAGGTAAGCAACCACACTTCCCAAAGTATGAGGCTGTTATGAAGACCTGGGAAATGAATCCCCTCCAGCCCCCCTCGGAGAGTCCCATTTCTAATGCCACCTCTGTCAGCCAAACTCATGTTAGCATCAGTTTATCATAAAATATGGAGCAGCCTGTAACTTTCATTTTTCTCTTTCAACTGGGATATTAAAAGAGGCTTTAACATTTCCTCCAAAAATGCATTTCAGAGTTCACATTTCCTCCCGAGGGCCTGCTGTGAATGAAGACTCCTCATTTCAAGCTTGATTTAATCCAGGAAGTGCCTGGGAATCAGATAATGCCAGCAACAACCAGCAAGCTAAAAGAAGCTGCTCTAAAGGGCTTCTTTGCTGCATTTCTGCTCTAAAGGGCTTCTTCCTTGTGCATTTAAGTCAGGGGGTGGTCATCTATAGAATGGTTACCTCCTGCTGTCATCTGTATACCCTTTATTCCTACTGCCACCACCGCCTGTGGCACCATTCCCACCATCACATCAGGATCATCACCACCGTGGACTCTATAGTCCTCCCTCTGTGACCTGCCCCATCATGGAAGGCTAATTAACACGAAGGACACACCATCTGCAGGTCTGCATCCTTCCTCTCCCCCTCATTCTCCTGCAGAAACAGAAGCAGCAGAGGTTGGTCTAGAAACTCCCTGGGGTACCACATAGAATGAGCTTCCAGATCCTGTCCCCCTGGGAAGGGGATACAGGTTAAGAAGCTGCACAACCCACCTTGCAAATAGAGGCTGATCAGCACTATAAATCCTTGAATACAGCAGCTTCTTGTTCGTTGGGAGTCATGAGTACTGAACCCACATTTCCTGGATCAAAAATGGAGTGACATATGTTCATTGATGGGGCCAATAGGACAGGGTGTTTAAATTTCAGCTTTCCTGGAAAATCCAGGATGTTAGGATATTGAGGAGAAGGCCAAGTACAGTGAGTTCTGCTCCCAAGAAGACCATGGTGGTTGCAGGCCTACGTGTGACTTCTCAGCTTTTGGATCTGGGTAAGTTACTGGTGGCAGACCCTCTAGAGACTATTCAGAGGAGGCACCAGGCTGACTTCCTATTTCCTGTTGGAAATAAAGCTGTTTAGCTCTTGGTGTTTTAGACATGAAGTCCTTGCCCATGCCTATGTCCTGAATGGTATTGCCTAGGTTTTCTTCTAGGGATTTTATGGTTTTAGGTCTAACATTTAAGTCTTTAATCCATCTTGAATTAATTTTTGTATAAGGTGTAAGGAAGGGGTCCAGTTTCAGCTTTCTACATATGGCTAGCCAGTTTTCCCAGCATGATTTATTAAACAGGAAATCCTTTCCCCATTTCTTGTTTTTGTCAGGTTTGTCAAAGATCAGATAGTCATAGATGTGTGGCATTATTTCTGAGGGCTCTGTTCTGGTCCATTGGTCTATATCTCTGTTTTGGTACAAGTACCATGCTGTTTTGGTTACTGTAGCCTTGTAGTATAGTTTGAAGTCAGGTAGCATGATGCCTCCAGCTTTGTTCTTTTTGCTTAGGATTGACTTGGCAATGCGGACTCTTTTTTGGTTCCATATGAACTTTAAAGTAGTTTTTTCCAATTCTGTGAAGAAAGTCATTGGTAGCTTGATGGGGATGGCATTGAATCTATAAATTACCTTGGGCAGTATGGCCATTTTCATGATATTAATTCTTCCTATCCATGAGCATGGAATGTTCTTCCATTTGTTTGTATCCTCTTTTATTTCCTTGAGCAGTGGTTTGTAGTTCTCCTTGAAGAGGTCCTTCACATCCCTTGTAAGTTGGATTCCTAGGTATTTTATTCTCTTTGAAGCAATTGTGAATAGGAGTTCACTCATGATTTAGCTCTCTGTTTGTCTGTTATTGGTGTATAAGAATGCTTGTGATTTTTGCACATTGATTTTGTATCCTGAGACTTTGCTGAAGTTGCTTATCAGCTTAAGGAGATTTTGGGCTGAGATGACGGGGTTTTCTAGATATACAATCATGTCATCTGCAAACAGGGACAATTTGACTTCCTCTTTTCCGAATTGAATGGCCTTTATTTCCTTCTCCTGCCTGATTGCCCTGGCCAGAACTTCCAACACTATGTTAAATAGGAGTGGTGAGAGAGGGCATCCCTGTCTTGTGCCAGTTTTCAAAGGGAATGCTTCCAGTTTTTGCCCATTCAGTATGATATTTGTCCAACAATGATGGACTGGATTAAGAAAATGTGGCACATATACACCATGGAATACTATGCAGCCATAAAAAATGATGAGTTCATGTCCTTTGTAGGGACATGGATGAAGCTGGAAACCATCATTCTCAGCAAACTATCACAAGGACAAAAAAACAAACACCGCATGTTCTCACTCATAGGTGGGAATTGAACAATGAGAACACCTGGACACAGGAAGGGGAACATCACACCCCGGGGCCTGTTGTGGGTTGGGGCTGGGGGAGGGATAGCATTAGGAGAAATACCTAATATAAATGACGAGTTAATGGGTGCAGCACACCAACATGGCACATGTATACATATGTAACAAACCTGCACATTGTGCACATGTACCCTAAAACTTAAAGTATATATATATATAAAAAAAGCTGTTCAGCTCATAGAGACGGAGTCCTGCCCAGGGAGATGGCGAGATTGTGTCCCTCTGAAGCAGTAGTTCTCAATCAAGGGATTTTGTTCCCCAGGAAACATTTGGCAATGCCTAGAGACATTTTTAGTTTTCACTATTGGCAAAGAGATGCTGCCAGCCTCAGAGGCTGGGGATGCTGCTAAACATTCTAGAATGGACAGGACAATAGGAAACTATCCAGCCCCAAAAAGTAAAACCAGGGGAGGGAGACTGAGGCAGTATAGCCAAGGCCTTGGAACAGCGTAATTAGACAGCCAGCTTTGAAAATGGGAAGGAATTTACATAGAAAGAAGGCGGGCAAATAATGAAGTTATGACAGAACCCTGTTTTTATAAGTGCCTGAAGGGCAGCTGGAAGGGACCTGGGTCTGGCCTCTGTGGGACATTAAGAGGGCATGAGTGTAATCAGCTTCCAGTGAGGTCTCTATCAAATGAGGGCCTGGACTCTGACTGATGCCTGGAAAGTTAGCCTCAAGGAGAGCTTTCCTCTCATCAAAAAGTCAAGTGGCTGGAAGAGATGGCTTCTGGCACTACACACCCAGGAGCTGGCTATTTTCGAGAGTAGGAGGTATGTGGGAGAAGACTTGGGGATTTGGGTCTGCATGCATGAATAAATACCAGGTCTGTACCCTGTACCCCCAGATCTCAGAGCCTGGCAGAGCACACACCCCATGGCAGATATTCTCAACTTGGCCAAGACAATGCAGCCCCTGCTGTGCCCTTCTTCTGAGCCACACAGACCCAGTGAAGGACTGGGTGTTGCAAAGGGCAGTTTCCCATTTCCTGGGCTTGGCCTTATACCTGGACAAGGAAAGGAGTCACCTTGTCATATGGTGTCAGTAGATGTAGAGTGCCCTGCTCCCACATCTGCCCTTCTCTTTGCTGCCTGAAAACCCTCTCCTACTCTAGGGAGAGTCAATGTCAGAATGAAGACCCCTGGGAAAGACCCCAGTAGCTTATCCCTCCTCTGTTTCTGGCTACACCTCTTGGGTGAGATTTGAGAACACTGGCCCCTGAGGAATGTTATGTGGGCTCAGATTGTGAACTCTTTGAGTACAAGGTAGGGACTCGGTGTTATTTCACTTTGTATCTCCAAGCCCAGTGAGTCCAGGAATGGTGCTCTATGTAAGATTGGATAGATGGATGGATGATGCATGGGTGGATCAGCGGAAGTGTCGATGGATGGATGGATGGATGGATGGATGGATGGATGGATCTGTAATGAAAGAATGAACAACTCTGCAAGCCACTTGTTAGCCACCTGCAGGGTATGTGATATTTGTCTCCTTTTCCTGGTAACTCCCATCCCAGGGGTTTCCCTGGGTGACAGGAAGGATTGAAGTGGAGGAGAAAGAGTGTCAGGAAGAGAGCCAAGGACGAGGCTGGGCCATGGCCAATATTCCAGGATTGTTGGGACAGTGAACAGATTTGAAGAAGTAAAAATCTTCTCGGAGAATGATGCTGCTGCTGGCAAATGCCTCTGTGGGTTCCTGGACCTGGGCCTGGTTGGAGGAGGCTGAGATGAGTGGGGCATGGGAGGTACATCCTAGTTGCGGAGTCAGGTCATGAGCATGTAAAAAGTTAAATAGCCACACTAAGCTTTTGGCTCCATTGAGGATTATTTGATGATAGGAAATAAAAATCAGAGGAATAAAGAGTAAGAACAAAGGGCTGCTAAAGTGCTGCCCGGCCTCCTGGAATGTGGCAAACTGTCAGGTGGTGCTTGTCCACCTTTGTCCCTCTGTCTCCCTCTGGGATGGCATTGCTACCCTTCTCTTCTTCTTTCAGCTTAGGATCCTTCTCTGGGGCTTCCTCTGCAAGGAACTTCATTTCTGTGCTCTTAGAACTTCAGAATTTCAGCTCTTCCAGGATTTGGGTTTGCTCTGGCACCTAGTGTGACCCTAACTCTACGTGACCTTTCTGTGCCAGTGCCTTAAACTTTTTGTACTGTAGCTTCTGTATCTTTTAGTTCAAATTCTGGAGTGAGTAGGAAAAAGGAAAGAGATCAATTAGACTGACTTACCTTGATCATATGCTATCCCTCTCCTCCCACTACCAATCCCAGTCATGCAGGCCCACAGCTGGGGCTGTGTTGAAACTCACATGAAAGGGACATGGGCAGTGGGGATATTTCATCAAAGACAGATGCAAGAGACACTGCAAATGCATTTTGAATGAGGGAGGGGAATTCCCAGGAGTTTGGGCTGACCTGTGACATGGGGGGAGGACTCTGAGGTATGAAACCCATGAGATAGGGAGTATGGAGAATAGGAAGTTCACTAGGTTCAGGGATTAGTGTTTGGGGGATGATGGGAAAGTAGGTTTGGGACTCACTGAGTTTGTCAAAGTCTTGAAATAGGTGCTTCATTTAATTGAGTGAAGTTTATAGGGATGCAGAAGCTGCACGCACATTCCCTTCTGGGGGATGCTGGGATATAAGGGCAGGGTTCCCAGGACAGACACCTGGGACAGGTGCCCTGGGATGCAGAGATGTAGATTTGAAAAGGTTAAACCACAGTCACTCGCTGTGAGTGGGGAAAGAATCAGGCCACATGGTTTCCTCTAGTCTGGCCCCAGGAAACATGTTCCGAGTTCCTTAAGAGACCGTTGAAATGGAAAGAGTCTGTTTGTTTTGGGAGCCCCCAAAAGACCTCCACTCACTGAGGCCATCTGAAGTGTGGCTGGAAGCCCAGCTAACAGTTCAGAAAAGACTAGTTTCAAAGCCAATTCAGAGGTAAGAGGGTAACGACAAGGAAGAAGTCCAAGAAGCAGAGAGAGATATTCGAGGAAACACGAGCAGGGCAAGTTCTACAACTATGAAGAAGAGAATCTGAGCTGCAGGGCCCCGGAGGAGGGGGGAGAGTCCTAGGGGCTTGGAATCCAGTGACTTTCCAGGATGGGAGCCCAGGGTCACAGGTCACTGGGATTGTTCTCTAGGGTCTGGAGTAGTGTCGAAGACCAAGGTAACTCAGAGGGAAGATTGAACCTATGACCTTCCAAACACTGTCCAGGAGGAACTCTGTCCTATACCAGAGGAGGCCAGTTTAACTCAGAAAATATTTTAGGGAATGAACTGGTATCAGGAAGAAAACCAATGGCATATTGAGCAGTTGTTTGTCTCCTGGAAAAATCCATCCAGTTCAGGTGACAATAATGAGGAGGGCAGAATGGGTGCAGGCTTTCCCCCAGTCTGGAAGTTCTTGGGCATCCAGCCCAGAAGCACCTGCACAGACACCAGCCCCGACTCTTTCCTGGCTCAAGTGACTCCCCAGGGCCCTGGACATGTAGGGGAAGCTGTAAGGAAACTCTAGCTAGCAATGCCTGTTGGTGGTAATTGATCTGGCTAGAGGGTCAATGTGAATCATTAACTGAGAACTTATGACAAATTTCTGCATGTTATTATCTCATATTTGCGTTTGAAAGTCATCATCCTGGGTTGTGACAAAGGGGTATGCTCAATATAGAATTCCTGCTCTGGTTGAGAAAGTAGCTTTTGGCTGTGAAAACGACAGACTGTCAATTATCTGTGTTTCAGCCTTCACATTGAATTTCCTGCCCTGCTGTGAGGCAGTAACTAGCCACTCACCCCCTCTCAGTCTGCTCCATGCTGATCAGAAACATTCCTGTCCCTCTGTCGGAGCCATGACAATTCCGTTGAGGCAGAGGCCTGGATTGGAGCCCCTCTGCTTCCCTGGCCAGGCAGAAGCTCCACCTGTGGAACTCAGCCCCAAAACTTTTTGGGAGAAGAACAAAAAGCAATTCTGATTGGCTGAGCATCTTAGGAGTGTTGTGGCCCAAATAAATGCTTATTGTCATGGTGACAAGTTCAAGCCAGGAGTGACTGGGCATGAGGTGGATGGCAGGGGATGGATGGGGAGTGCATAGACATAGCCTGGAACAATTAAGACCACAGGTTCTGGAGTTAGAGTTGCGTAAATCCTTGCTTCACCATTTACTAGCTGTGTGTCTTTGGGCAATTTGCTGAACCTCATTAGCCTTGGTTTTCTCATTTGTCAAATGGGAATAATAACACCAACATCAGACGGTTGCGCTAAAGATTGAAGGGAAAAAATGCAGACAAAATACTGCTCCTCGAATGTACTCAAAAAGCATTAGCTTTCTTAGTGTCAACATTGCTGGTGCTACATTTGCACTCTGCTTGATTCTCAACGTCTGGTATAGGCAGCGCATGGAGGCAGGGAGAGCTAGCTGCATGCTTTAAATAACAGATCCATGAAGAATCTGTCACGTTTTGGAGACGCCAGCCAAAAAACATCTTATTTTCAGCCAAGCACTTTGTTTATCCAGCTACAGAGTGTGACCTGTTTATCAGAGACAAGGACACCCCAGCCCCATTTTTGTTACTTCTCAAGAACTACGGCTGGGTGTGGTGGCTCACACCTGTAATCCACCACTTTGGGAGGCCGAGGCAGGCGGATCACGAGGTCAGGAAATCGAGACCATCCTGGCTAACACAGAGAAACCCCGTCTCTACTAAAAATACAAAAAATTAGCCGGGCGTGGTGGCGGACACCTATAGTTCCAGCTACTTGGGAGGCTGAGGCAGGAGAATGGCATGAACCCGGGAGGCGGGCTTTCAGTCAGCTGAGATTGGGCCACTGCGCTCCAGCCTGGGCGACAGAGGGAGACTCTGACTAAAAAAAAAAAAAAAAAAGTACAGCCAGAGGAGAAAATTAAGTTGTGGCTTGGTTGCATCCCAAGATACAGATGTTTTCCTTTTTGATAGGCACCTTCGCCCTTCCAGGGGCCCAGTAAAACACCCAAGAACTGAGAATCACTTATGGTTGTTGGAGGAACTGATACCCTTTGAAAGAGGGTTGAGAACAGTGCGAATGTCATGTGATCTCTGCTATGCACAGAGTAGAAGGAACAAACCAATTAACTAATGGAATGTGGAGCATCTAGGGGAACTGCAGGGGCTCGGAAAAGCCAAGAAAAGCAGCAAAACGATCCCCACGTGGACAGGAGACTGCTGCTGAAGTGTGGCCAGAACTAAAACTCTAGTGGCTTTGACAAAATCTGGATCATTCTGCCAAGTTCTCTTTATTTTTGTTCTAGGATGGGCACATCCCTCTTTGAACAGCTAAGTTCCTATATCAGAGCCCAAATGCCAACCTTAATTCCTCTCTTTCTGGAATCCCAAGACTCTGCCCAGGAAGGCTTTGCTTTCATGCTGTCTTCTGTAGCAGGTGCACCTGGAAGTAGCTCCTCCACTGAATTGTCAGCCCAGGCTAAGGACACCAAGTCTCACCCAGACTTGAATCCTTGAGACAGGAGCAGATTTTTAGTGGGTGCCTAGCACATCCAATGAAGGATCTCTGGGAAAGTTGTGCAGTCCTCAATTAGCAATGTCTTCCATGGATTGGGGCACAATGAATAATGAATAATGAGTAGAATAATGAGTAATGAGTAGATGAATAATGAGTAGAATATGAGTAGAAATGAATAATGAGTAGAAACAGACAGGTGAGGCTTTCTTAGTGCCAACATTGCTGCAGGTCACTTGAGCAGTTGCCGAAGGTATAGACTAGACAGCCGTCTTTGGATTGGCAGCTAAGAATTCTTTCCCTTTGTATGATTTGCTCAAACTCTCAGCTCAAAGCATGGGGGTCATGAGAAATCACCAGCAAAAGGAGGGTAGAAGAAAGAGGGAGGATCTGGTAAAGGCCAATGTTCTTTCTCAGCTCCTGTTTGATCTGGTCAAAAGCAGATGCATTTGGACTCAGCCTGGGGAAGAAACCTCTGCATAAAAGAGACAAGCTAGGCCAGGGAGATTCCTGGCTTCTCCACCACTCAAAAAAAAAAAAACAAAAAAAAAACTGGATGCAAGAATTTCCACTGCAAATTGCTGGCCACATGTATTCTCCATCTAGAAATCATTTGTTAATCAATGAGTGCAGTTTTTTTCTTGGTATGTTGAATCACATCTGGAAATGATCTATCCCCATAAATTGATGCTCAGGAGATGATTAAAAAATTCTGATTGTGCCCAAATGAGTATGGAAATGTTTAATAAGGAGCTGGGATCCTGGGATGCCTGTGAGGCACATTCTTGAATCCTCATAGTCTGGACCTCACTTTGGGCAAAAGAGACCAAGTGGAGGATTAGGGAGGTGCTGGCTCAGTTTCTGTTTCCCACTCTAGTGTGGAGCAAGAGACCCCTGCTCCCCTGCTCGCCCTTCTCTGTCCATCTGGAGCCCTCCTTTCTATTGCTTTTTTCCCAGGGAGGACGAAAGGCAGGGAGGAGAACATGGGGATGACAAAGCACTGGCATCTCACAGAAACACCACGAGGATCTTGGCACATGGGGACTATGATTCTGTTTCACCCTTGGAGAGGTTAAGCCATGCTGTAAATCTTTTTGCGCCTGCAGTGCCATAGCTCTGACTTGCGCAAGGTCATGTAACAAGCTAGAGTCTTGTTGCTAGACTTCTAGTGCAGTGCTTTTTGTGTGCTGAGCTCTTTGGAACCCTCTGTCTCCTGAGCAGGTCTGTGGGGTGGCTCTTCCTGTCTTAGGACCAAACTGTTGAAATTTGGAGGACACTGGGGGTATGCATGTGTTCATGTATGTGTGCATGTGGACATGGGGGGGTGCATCTGTTCATGTATGTGTGCATGCATGCATACATTTATGCAGATATGTGTATCTGCACGTGCATGTGTTTGTGTGTGTGTGCACAAGCCTGTGTCTGTATGTAGGTGTTTCTGCATTTCTGTGTCCTCCGTGTGCATGTGTTGGGCCAGGAGTCAATGTAATGTGTACACCTATATGCCTGTGTCTATATGCTTCGGTTACCATTACCAAGGGCCCTACTCAGGATGTTTAGTACCCAGCCTACCACAGTCACTGACCAATCAGAATAAACACTGTCAGTAACTCAGCATTGGCTGGAGTCCTGGGAGGCCAGAGGGTCCTGCGGGAGAAGCCGGAATGACTGGGGTATGTGTGAGAGTTTGGGGAGCTTGGGGGGCAGCCCCTATATACGAATTGGTCCAAAAGTACTTCAATACTTTAACGGCTGGCATGGCCTTCCTTGTGCTAATTGGAAGAATATCAGTCCTTCTGTCCTCAGAAATAAACCTGGGTAAGTGATTAGGAAGATGTGTGCCGGTTAATGTTTGATTTTCAACAAAAGGAATGACACAATTGAATTTGACAAGTTAGAGTACTCTGTTGGCTCTAGACAAGTTATTTAATCCCCCTGAAAAATTGGGATGATCATACCTACCTTTGTATAAGGTTGGTGTAAGGGTGAAATAAGCTTACACCCATATGGTGTGCCTGGCACGTGGAAGTTGTTACTATTATTGGTGTCATCAGTTTTATTATAAAATGGCACAGTGAATGTTTCCAGGTATGATTTTGGAGATCACACAGATCTGGAGTTTATGCCTACTCGGCTGTTCATAAGTTTTAAAAGTGAAGCTACTTAACCTTTTTGAGTCTCAGTTTCCCCGTCTGTAAAATAAAGACACAGGATGTTACTATGCATTTGTTGCAGCACTATTAACATGGCCTTGCAAGAAGTGATCTGGAGCTGAGCTCTGTTAAATTACTCCTGATGATGACGGTGATGGTAATGATGATACTATAGGGGCTCCCCTCTGAAGTCTGCCAGAATCTGAAGGCCTTTAGAGATCACTCGGTCCTATTGTTTATTTGCACAGATGAGACTGATGTGGTCTGTGGAGGTGTGATGGGGGCCTGACCTCAGGCCTCCCTGGGGCTGCGACCTGCGGGCCCACTGAGGCATGAGCAACCTCCAGCTGGGAATGGCCTCCCCACGTTGCTGAGCCCTGGGCTGCACAGCCGACTTTGGGACTTGGAGAGACATCAGTGCCGGATGATGTGCATTTCATTACTTTCAATAGATGTGTAGGTTGTTGTTGAAGACTGATAACTTGCTCCTGTTCATCACACGTGTGCTGTGGCAGACACCCTCCAGGGATTTGGGCTTTGAGTGACTTCAGGGTGGGAGAGGAGAAAAGAGGGCATCACTGGACCTCTTCCCTGGTGGATGGAACAGCGGCATGGCTTGTCCAGGTTAGCAGGCTATGCCGGCCTGGTCCCCTGAGAAACCTCCTCCCCACATTTTGAGGCCTGCATACATGCTGCCCTTAAGTATGTATGGCAGAGGCAGAAACTCAACAGAGACATAAGCTTCCCAGCATCAGGTACCAAACATGACAGAAACCTATTGCGACTTTAGGAGATGGTGAGAGAGGTAGAGGTGTTTGATGGGTACTCAGGGATGATCAGATAAAAGCACTTGGGCAGCATTTACATTGCATGACACTAGTCTGAGAAGTTTACACAATGAACTTCTAAGTCTTCACCAGAACCCTCTGAGGTAGTGCAATGATTATTCCCGTTTTATATATGCAGAAGTGGAGGCACAGAACAGCTCCCTAACCTGTCCAAGGTTACCCCTAAGTGCACAAGAGAGCTGGAATTAGAACTCAGGCAGTTGGGCCTGGAGTCTGTTCTTTTCGTGTTCTCAGTTGGAGGCTGGGACAGAAGGACACAGCCTCTTTCCCTTGGTGAGATTTGGGCTGAATGCTGGGAAACTGTGAGCAAGGACATTTTCTCCAGGCAAAGAGAACAGCCCTGGAGCTTCGAGGAGGGCCTGGGCCACTCACTCTGCATTCCTCAGCCAGCAGCCACACTCAGTTGCCTGGTGAGCCTCTGGAGAACGCCAGGGCATCATCAATCACAGCATGGCCCCTCCTGGGGACTGGCCCCGCCTCACCCTGCCTTTCCTCACTCACTTGCTGAGTTCTCACGGAGAAAGGGATGGGAAGGGAGCACAGCCTTCCCTTGAAGCACTGGCTCCTGGCATCCATGAAGATGTGTGGTTGGGACCAATTCTGCCCTGAAGTTGATCAACAGGGTTATGTTGAGCCCCTGCCAGGAGCTTGGGACCCCAGTCATGGGCTATGGAAGGGATGAGACCCGTGAAACCCAGGCCCAGCCAAGGGAGGGCACGGGACAAACTAATAGGAGGAAAGAGGGCAGTTGGCTTAGAGAAGGGGGAGGTCTGCAGGTTGGGAGATTGGGGGTCCCAGAGGAGGGGGCCTCTGGGAGCCTTTTTGGGGCAAGGAAGTGAGTGAAGGGGTGGCATCCCACTGAGAAAAGAAAGGGAAGGGGTCTGGCTTCTGCCAAAGCCCTGGAGGCACATCTGCTGAGCCCTTTTCCCCAGATGTCAGAAGGGCTGGCAGCTGCTCAGGGGGCAGGGATCCTGCCAGCTGGGGCTGGCCACAGAGCCCCTTCCTGTGTGCGGCACTGAACAGAGAGCTGTGTTGAGCTCATTTGCTTATCCTCATGTATTCACCTCCCTCAGCTCCTCTGTGTGCCCCCAAGGTTCATGATAGGGACTGGAGGTGATGTATTGAGGGAACAAGAAAAACTAAGGAAAAGTGACCAGGGGTCTCCCTACTCTGACCTTACTGTCCCAGCAGAGCTTGCCTGGGGCAGAGGGCTGGCCATGCCTGGAGGAGTTAGGTATGGCCTTTACCAGTCCCCATAGATCTCTAGATCTGTGTCTGGGGGACACAGGACTATTCTGGTGGTGCTGCAGGAATGTGTCAGGAGGAAGCCTGAGCCCTGACCAGCACCCTTCACTCTTCAGCTTTTGGGGAAGGGCTCTCCTGGTCCAGCCTTGGTTTACACTGACCTCAGCGTCTGATCCTCAAAGCAGCACAGTGGAGTTTCCTGGGAGGCAGGCCATGGCAGGAAGAAGGCCTCCACCTGCTCCCCGAGGGAAGACACAGATAATCAGGGCCATCCTCTTTCCCTTTCCTCTTCAGAGTCTGTAAGTGACCAGAAAGGAGAGCTCATCAGGCTTTTCACACGCTGAAGGACTGGAAGGTTGCTTTTCTCTGTGTGAACAGCTGGAAAAGCCAGTGGAGAGTTTCCATCTCAGTGGGCAATGGGCTCCTTCCTCCTGTCCCTGAGCAGTCCTGGTCTCGTCCTAGCCTGAGCAGTGACAGAGGAGAGGCCCAAGGGTCTGGATTCTCAGGGGTTTCCAGACCTGGAACGGAACCTTTCCTGGGGCTGTCTGACAGTCTCACCTCCCGCTCTCTGTTTCATTCTGAACCACTCACATTATACTTTAGCACTTAATTCAACAGTCATTGAAAATATGCTGGTTTTAGTTTTTTCATCGTTTTGACCTAAGATCATGTTGGTGCCAATTTCCTTTAAAATAATTCTCTACCTGTGGGCCACTGGCGTGAAATCCCAGCGGCAGCCCCCGCCGACCCTCCCTCTGTAATTCCATGGCCTCCCCTCGCTCACGCTCCCCTCAGGGTTCCTTGGCCTCTGTGTTTATACACTAATGTTTTTTCTCACACATTCATTGTGCAGCTTTCCTTAATTTGGTGTCCCGCCGGGCGCCAGCAGGAAGCCACTCAAACATTATGTCAGTGATCTCAAAATTGAACCCCAGGGCTTTCTTCTGCCAGCAGATGTGTGGCACACTTTATTAACTCAAGTACCCACGAGTTGAAAATTTCATTAGTTTGAGGGGAGGGCTAAGTCCCATCAAGAGACCTGGTCTGGACAGATTCTTTGTGTCAACCTGACCCCTAGCAAAACGGATTATTGTTCTAAGTGAGACAAGTGACCTAATGTTCTGCCTATTATGCACACATGGTCTGTAACCTTTTAAAATACGAGTGTGGGAAAACAGCACATTCTGCCACATCCCTGACCAAAAATTCCTGACAGGTGGCAGCCGGCCTCTTAGCAACGCCACCAGGAGCCTGGAGTTATCCAGGGGCCACGGTGGTTCCCTTAGGCCAGGTACAGGGCGGAGTTGGGAGACCTCCTGCTGGGAGGAAGGAGCCCATGAAGGCAGCGCTCAGCCTCCAGAGCCACCCTGTGACAGGTCAGGGGACAGCCTTGGATGGGCCATGAGAGCCCACCTCCTGTATCCCCTTAAGGTGGTCCCCCGGCTTTCCACCAGACTGGGAGACTCACAGGGAGGCAGTTTGTTTGCTGTGCTAAGAAAATTTCCCAAGACTCTGTGCTGGGCACTGAGTGCAGCCACATCCCTGCACAAGACTCCCTTCTCACCTGCTCACCCAGGCCCTCTCACACTACCTTGTTCCAAGTGGCCTGATATTCTGCCTGCTAGGCACACATAGTCTGTACCCTTTTAAGGTACAAGTGGGGAAGAAGGACACTTTCTGTCACGTCCATTACCACAAATTCCTGACAGGTGGCAGCTGGGCTCTGTGGGAAAAGGACCAACATGCTCAGTTGAGCTTAGCACCTCCTGAGGCCTCCTTAGCAAGGCTGGAGCCTGGCCTGTGGAGGAGACAGGTGTCCCAGCTGTGGCCCAGAAGTGTGCAAAGGTTGAGGGTGAGAAGGTGGAAAGACTATGGGGTTGGGCAAGGAGGTATAATCTCCGCTTGGAGCATGGCTGGAGGAGAGCAGGTAATGGAGGGGTGGGGAGGGCTCCCAGGAAGGAGGGCCTGAGCAGGGCATGAACAGGCCAGAGAAACAGGGTGAGGAAGGGTTCTGGGAAGGAACAGGCCAAGGTGTGGGCCTTGGGTGGAGTTTCGGGGGATGCGAAGCGGAGGCTGTAATAATGCACAGCACGCTTGCTCTGGACTGTTTTGGGCTCGGACACAGAGCAGTCCCTAGGCTGAGAGACCCCAATGGAGTGGGGACAGGCAACATTCTTCGTGGTACCTCTGTCTCCAGTGGGCCTGTTGTGGGGATGCATCTTCTGACAAACCCGTCTCTTTTGGGGTAGATGAGAATTCCTGGAGATCCAGGAATGCAGCCTTCAGGCCTGGGTTTGTTCTCCCCGGAGTCTCTGTGACCTGGCCTCCCAGAGAGCTGAGGGTAGGTCTGCACTGGCCCCTACCTTCTGACAGACACAAAGCAGAGCTGGTTGTAAAAACTTAATTAAATGAAATATTTTAACAAGAAATTCCTAGAACAGAATGCCCTGCTCGTAAGCAAGCCATCACAGAAATAAAAGCTGACAGAAAGCGTGTGTTCTGTCCAGGAAGAGAAAGTTTCTGCAAGAAACAAGATAGTGCAGAGAGCTGGCCTGTGCTGGACCAGTGGCTGAGCAAGCTTGTTCCTGGAGTCAAAGCCAGGCAGACTCGGGACACAGCCCTGGGGCTGTGACTACTTGGCTCAGGAATGCGTGAACTCCAGACCATAATTCAGGCATTCCACACACTTTTCCTGAGCACCTACTGTGTGCTGGGCAGTGTGCCGGGCTCTGGGTATACAATGCCTTCGGCGTTCACCAGGTGCTCCTGTGAGAGGGCTATTTTGCAAGATGAAGAAATGGGGGCTTAGGGAAGTGATGCAACAGGGTACCACTGAGGCAGAGCTGGGACTGGAACTCAGGTCTGCGAATCTTCAAGTCCAAGCTCTTTACCACCTCACCTACTCTTTACACAACAGCTCAGTTAGCAAAGGTGCTGAAGAGGAAACTCGACTGCATTTGCAGGCTGCTAAATTGTGGCTGGCCCCATGCAAGGCCACCTCTGGGGCTGGAGTGTGCCATTGTACCTTCCTGGGGGAATGCAACCAAATCCTGTCCTCACACTGGAGTGAGAGTGGACAGAGACACTCATTCCCATACTGAGGAAAGGGCCCGCAGATCAGAGTGTGTAGCTTGCATAGTGGACTTCCTGGAGGAGGTGGCACTTGAGAGGACCTTGAATGTTTCTGTAGAGAGTCAGGGGAGGATGTGCCCCTACATAGGAGGGGAAAGGGAGTAAGCCACACCTGAGAGTGGGCAGCAGAGCATGGAGTGATGCGAAGTGGCAGGAGGAGCCTGCACTGGAGGCGAGAGTGGAGCCTGGCTCAGGGACTGACTCTCCAGGGAAATGTTGCCCTCTGCATGTGTCAGTAAGGATGAGGTGACAGAAACATCTCTTGCTCCCTTGCCCATCTCGGGTGAGTGTGAGAGAAATGCATTGCATGCACAAGCCAAGGAACTGCCTTGATTTCTCCTGATTGATTATTTCCCAGGCTAGAAGGGTTTTGGGAACAGCAGAGTCAAATCCTTCCTGCCACCCGGTGCCTTTGTTCCACACCATCTTCCAGTGGCCTCAGTAGGACTTGGCTCAGGGCCAACCTGATTTAAGAAAATTCCATCAAAAAATCCTGACATGCAAAGAAGACTCATTTTAGGTAAAATGGTTCACAGGGTAAGAGGAAACTTTGTTTTACAGGAATATTCTCCATCAGGTTATCTTATATTGTAAATTTCAAATATTCTTTGATTTATTCAAGGAAATGCCCAAACTTTACAGGATATGGTGAGCGCGTAAAGTGAGACAGGGCTGTGTTTTGTTCAGAAATTAGCTTACAAGTGCCTCTTTTTTGCAGCAGAGAAATTATCTTTAAACTCTATCCCCTACACTCCCCCAAGGACTCAGCCCCCTACTGCCCCAGGGAGTCTGGAGAAGGAAAGGGGAGTCTAGGGGCGGGCTAGTCCTATGTTTGGATGACTCTCTGCCTCTGGTATTATTGGGGAGTTGAGGTTGTATGTGCACTCCGTCCCAGCATCATGGCTTTGCCCCATTCACAGAGCTGAGGGGGAGACCCTGCATCCACGGCTTATCTCTGTACCTGTCATAGGAAAGAGTCAGCCCTGCATGGGCAGCCAGACCTGTGAGTGGGGAGGCAGGGTGCCCGGGACGGGGAGGCAGAGGTGGAGGCTAAACCCACTCAATAGAGCATGACAGCAAGCCCTCAGTCAGCCTCATGAAACTGCAGCCCCTTCCATCTCCCATCCAAACCTTTTTCTGAGAGAACAAGCCTAGAAATGCCACTTTAGTGTGTGTGCTTAGCCAGTCAGAGGACGGCAGCACACACCAGTGCTGAGTGAGTTGTCTCAGAGGCATCCATGCAAGGGAATGATTGTTTTCAGCAAACTCAGGGAATCCCCAAGAGGAGGCCCTTCAATTACCCAGCCACTAGGTGAGACATGGAGGAAAACTGACGAGACCTCAGGGGAAGCCCCTTGGAAGGGCCTGGTTGATTTCAGTTTGGCCTGGGGAGTGACACAGGCGAGGACAACTAGATCAAGGCAAGCACGTGGCCTGGGTGTGCTTCAGCAGGGATCGGGGGGTCTTCAAGGACTAAGAGACATTCTTTGCTGGGCCTTGGAGGATTTTTGTATAGAGAATAAAAAGAAACGGTCACAGAGGCGAAAAGCTTAGAT